>NC_000006.12:96282911-96434426 GCF_000001405.40 Homo sapiens
TTAAAAGGCTAAGGAAAAATAACTTTTATTTCAGCATTTGCCATCCAATGGTAATATTTCAAACTGACATAAAAAGGAAAATGCAAAAAAGAGAAACAAGTCAGATAGATATACATGATCTGATGCAAATACAATGAACACTAAATGTGGGTTGCCAACTAATAATATTTCCTAGAGTTAGGGGCATTGTGAGCAAGTCTATCATTAACAAATCTGGAAAGGAAACCGGGTGTTAATCCTGTGAGTCTGTCAAGTTTTCATTTCCACAGTGTGTCTTTTTTCTTCCATTAAAAGGTCTCCTCTAATTCCAAAGGTATGAAGAAAGAAAACCAATTACCAAGAAAAAAATCAGAATAATGCTAAGAATGTTTTTCTCCTTTGATTTTGATTAGTGGCTTTATGTGATTCAGTTATTTTTATCTACTGGCTTAACAATACTCATTTTACTTATATAACTCTCATTTCAATGATAGTTTTCCTTTATGTTTACAGTGCATAGTATAGACATAGCATGCAATATATATCTTGATAGTTTACTTTGGAAAATTGATATGATAGTGAGTATTGATTTTATATAAAAAAGCAAGCTCAGATTAGCCAAACATTTGCCTTATAGTAATTGAATTACACCTCCTGTTCGAAACTGCAAAGTAATGATGCCTTATTCCATGAATCAGTTAATTCCTAAAACTGCCTAATTATTGATCTAAATGAAGATTTTAAAATCAAACATAATTCCTAGCTTTTATATAAATAACATATACATCATTTTGGAAGCTAATGAGTTTCATTGGCCTGCTATTACATAAATTTTTTATTGCCAGATGTATCTAAATATTTCTTCATGATCATTTTCAAGTGCAAATATAAATCAGGGGAAATTTGCAAATGCTAACCTTAATAAGGAACTATTTAAAACAATTTTCTTACTAAAATTTCCTATCTGAAAATAGTACAAATGCAATTTATTTTTAAGTAGTAATAAGCAGATTAAAATTTTAAAAAGAGCTAAACTCTTATTCCTGGTAGAGCTTATTTCTAAATTTCCAGCTAGGAAAAACAGGAAATACACTACAGCAAATACACAAGGTATTTCCTGGAAATTTTGATGGTGATGGTATTATTAAAATATTTACAAGTTCTTGAGGTCAACATACTAGTAAACAGTCATTTTCTCTCTTTGCACCCTTGAAGATAAGAGGTAGACAATGTTATTGCATCCTGCACAGCATGGTTACAAATCACAGACTGTCAAAATCAAGATTGCAGATTGCAACTAAAACGCTATGGCACCTTGGTGTATAGTCCAAGAGATTTAAATCAAAAGATCCTATACCCTGAGTTATGTCACTGAGAGAGAAACCTGTGATTACCTATTGGTTTGAATAAATTATAAAATTATCTCTTCTGGACAAACTTCTCCATGTGAGGTTCAGAAAAACAAATAATAAATTCAATTGAGATTATTCAGTATTCTTTTCATTGTTTATTTATTACACTCCCCAAAATTTGAACCAGGATTTCACAGAAAATTCCCTTCTTATTCTCTCAGTAACTTGATGAGCCATATTTAGCATTTATCTGAACATCATGAGTCTACTAGACTTCTACATATGCATCAATGTGTGAAACTGTGAAGAATACAGTGAAATGGAAAATATGGTCCCAGGAAACCTTGATATACTCAGCTAAATCTTCATCTGGTGCCAGAGCATTTGAGAGCAACAACTGATAAAGTAGCAACAGCCAGGAGACATGGAGGTTGTTTTTACCTCTTTTTCTTTTCTTTTCTTCCACATACTTCTACAAGTATGTGGGAGTTGGAAAGACACACTCTAGGGTCAGCCACTTTATTGACTTTAACAATATATGAAAATATTTCAAGAACATTTTTAAAAACTTCTGGACACTGTGATAAGATACCCAGTGATAACTAAGCTCACCTTCTGTTTCTAACCCAAGTATGGAGTTTGAAGATTTATGTGGGAAACATAGGCTCTTAGACCCCTAAATGTTCACTGAAAATCAGTGACATGTGGCAGACTGATTAACACGAGAAAAAACATAAAAATTCATTCAACTTGTATACACAGGAGTCTTCAAAATGAATACCCAACTTTCTGATAAGGTTACTGAAGCTTATATAATAATACCATCTTGCAGTTACAGAAAGAATGGGGTCTTGGATTCTGGTAAAACAGGTTATGGGAGGGGGAAAATAGGAGTTCTATTGACAGAGAGAGAAGAAGAATTCTATTGAGGGGCAATAAGTGATTATTGGTGAAAATGATTAGATCAGGGAACTTGTAAATAGTTCTCTTTGGAATTTAAACAATTGATATTTGGAGATGATCATTATTTTGAAAAAAGATCTGTTGAGGTGTGGCTACCACTTTGATCTTATAGGGAAGATAAGAAAAGTATTTTTTCTTTAATAGGTCTGGATTTTAAGAAAATAAAGGAACTTCAGCTCTTTGGGAAAGACGGTGGGGAGGAGGGGAAGATCAAAGAGACCTTGAGATTTCTTCTTCTGTTCAGCATGTTAAAATGCCATATTTTGGGATATTGGCTTCTGAACTCCAACATGTTCCTTTTATAAATATGTCTAGCAGACAAAAATAGCACATATCACATATATCTACCGGCAAGTTTTCTATACCATTTTTAAGAAAAAGTGTTGGTAAATGATAGCTTCCTATAAAAAACATATAGATCTAGTACTTTTAAAGGTCCAATTTGATTTTGACAACATCAGATCATCCTCAACCATATAAAAGACCAATCACAAGGAAATCTTTTATACTCCTAGAATCATTGTGACTATATATTTGAAATAACATAAAATTACTTGGTTTATATCAATGCTTCTAAAATTAGGGTTTATCTACATATTACACATCTATAATTCAATGATAATTTGAAAATAAAAAAATTCTTAACCATATGAATGAGCACATTATAATGGCCTTGGAATTGAAAAATCTTAAATTACAGTTGTGTTTTCAATCATGTAAAGGCCAAAAACTATTATTTTAATTTTTGGAGCCAATAATAAGAGAACCATGTCAGTTTATTTAATGGCCAAAAACATCAGGATACCTAGCAGTTTATATAGAGAAAAGAAATGGGAGAATTGAATAGGTATAAAATATAGATAAAGTAAAAATCAAAACAATTATTGCATTAATCATCAGTACCATATTTATGTTGCTTACAGCAACTTAGTTTCAGCAAAATTATATGACTTCTTATAATATGAAATTATATAAATAATAATATAAATCTGAGGTGTCAAAAACCCAAGAAACCTTTAGAGAATCACCCATCACACATCTGATAATTTATTGATAAGAGAAGATCTTTGAAGGAAATAGGCAGGTTTAGAGACTGCTTTAGTGTTTCTTCATTTTATGACATTCCTCTAGACCAGGTAAAAAGGGTATTAAGAGAGTCTCACTGCTTGTGTGTGTGTGTGTGTGTGTGTGTGTGTGTGTGTGTACTAAAAGAGTCTCACTCTCTGGGTGTGTGTGTGTGTGTGTGTGTGTGTGTGTGTTTTCCAAGATGGCAAATTGGAGGCAATGTTAACATGCCTCTCCAACTTGGAAAGACAAAATAGTGACCAGAAATTCACACTATGAACTTTTTTCCAAGAAGCAATGAAGGAACTTAACAGGAAAATTGAAAGAAAACACAGACCCTTTGAAAGAAGCAACAGGGTGCAGCCTACACCATGAGCCAGGCAAAAAATTGTAAGTCCCTAGCATGTGAGAAATGGGGAGACTGCCTCCTACTGGGGAACATAACAATTCAGCCCATGGGGGAAGGTCTTAACCCTACTCAGTGCTGAAACTGATATAGGAAGTGGTGGGGAATCCAAAAGTAGGAGGGACAGCAGGAAGAGCCTTGCATGCCTTCCCAGTCTCCAGTGCAGATTGAGGGAAGCCATTCCTGATTCTACATCACAAGGCACCTCGCAGAAGTTAGCCAACTACCTCAGGGAATGATGGTAGGTGAAAAGAAGCTCCCAACTGAAATTCATAATATAATCTTGAGTAGGAATGAACTCCCTTAGTCAGAACCAGGGGGTGAGTGGGAAGTTGCTGCAACCGTGGGCACAGGAGCTGGGAACCCTGGCTGTCTGGGCAGACAGGGAGGGGCATGACCTGAAAGCAATGGTTCCTGTCTCTATGGAGAAAGCATATGGCCTGGGGTCATCCTGAGTTCTGAATGTAGACTACCTGGAATTTAGCTAGCTGCTCCTAGCAAACACTGTAACACTTTCATGAGAAACCTGCCTTGCCAAGTGCATGGGATATGGGTGAGGCTTACTGCCACCTGCTATTTCCCACTCCCTGCACAAACTGTTCTTTGCTGCAGAGGCAGCTACACCGCTTCCTAGAACATTACCCTAGAGGCCAGAGAACTATCCCTCAATTCCCACAGGGGCCTCTGCTTGCCCTGCATGTAGAGAGCCAGAACTCAGACCTGACTGGCTCAGCCCCAACCTGGCTTTGCCTTTCAACCTACCCTGGTAGCTTAACACAAAGGACAGAAACTTTTGGGAGCCCAATGGTCCCACCCATCACTTGAGAAACTGGAGTATCTCCCATGGGTAACATAAGGCAAACACATGAATCCCACCACTACTACTGCAGCTAGTACTCTTTTGCAAGTCCCACCTCCTGACTGAAGGAGAACTGACACAGTTCATCACAGCATCTACAGGCAGAATAATCTGCATCCAGGAATGTGAAAACTTGTGGACAACCTCAGCTATCACCATTGCCTGCACTACCTTGGGTAACCAGGAGGTCCTGACCAGTTTATTACTACTACAACTGGCATTTGAGAAAGCCCAACACATTAAGGCTATTTATAACCAAGGAATCTCAGAGTCTACATCACTACCCTGCCACCCTTATCAAAATAGGTCCTGCTGGGAGACTTGAGGACAGGTCACATCACGGGATCCCTTGCAGACATTCCCCAGCAACAGCCTGGAGTGTGGCAGCTCAGCTGGGCAGCTAGAACCAGAGAAGCAACAGCATTCACAGTAGTCTGGCTCTCAGGGTCTCTTACTCTTAGGGAAAGGAGAACACCATATCAAGAGAACATGCCATGGGACAAAAGAATCCAGATGGCAACTCTTGGATCTCAGATTATTCCACTGGTGGGATGTTTCTTTCAGCAGAGGCACATTTGCTGTTCCGGGCTCAGTTGGGAAAGTCTGCAGCTCTGCATCAACAGACAGGTAGCCCTGGCGCTTGTGAAGGGTCTTGGAGAATGGAAATTCTTGTCCCCCTTTTTCACCACTGCAGAAACAACTGGGGCATCTCCCACAGGAACTTGGGGTGGAGGTACCTATAGACAGCCATTTTGGAACACTTCAGGGTGACTTCAACCCCAAAGATGAAGCACTCTCCAGGTTCAGGTTTGCATAAAGAGTAGAATCATAATTCCTCCCTACTTGGAACATCAATATTCCTGCATATGAAAAGTGGTGCCTGTCTGATCTGAATAGCCAGAACACTGGGGTAGGAGTCTGTCTGAGCAGTGGATCACTTTTCCACTGGCCTGGAAGAGTAGCTGAGGTAGCTGTCATCCTCAACCCTGATAAGACTTCAGTGCATTTCACTGAGAGCTCCTTCATCCACCTCTGTTAAGGCTGGGATCTCTGCCCAATATGGGATATTGCATTTATCCACCTACATTAGCCACAAATGGTTTCTACCCAGAGATACCTCCCTTACTTTCCTGAAGCCTGAACTATTCAACCCAGTAAACAAAATACTGGGGGAAAATAAATAAATAAATAAATAAATAAATAAATACAGTGCAAACCACAGGGGAATGAGGTAAGCTTCAGGAGACATCTGTCATTTCAACCGCATAGGAGACAGTGAACTTGCTCACACACTGAACATATTGCTACTACAACCAGTATCTGAGAAAGCCATCAAACAAAGACTCTCTATAATCAAGAAATTCATACAGTCATCACCCCGAAAACATCAAAAACTGAATTAAGCTACAATAAACTAAAAATTAAATGTACATCCTTAAAGGGGAAAAAAACACAGTCAAATAAAAAATAAATTCAAGAATAATTGGAAGAAATAGTTTACCCAAGTGATTAGGACCCAGAAAAATAATTCTGCTAATCTGACAAAACAGAGTTCTATGCTACCCCAAAAAGATCACACTAGCTTTCCAGCAATGGATGAAACCTTTGACACAAGACAAAGAATTCAAAAGGTTGATTATGAAACTACTCAAGGAGGTACCAGAGAAAAGAGGAAACCAACATAAAGAAATTTTAAAAAATTCAAGATATGAATGAAAAATTTTCTAATTAGATATTTTAAAGAAAAACCAAGTAGAACTTTTGAAAATAAAAGACACATTTAGGGAATTACAAAATGCAGTGAAAAGTTTCAACAATAGACTAGAACATGTAGAAGAAAAAATTCAGAGCTTTAAGACATGGCTTTTGAATTAACTCAGTCAGACAAAAATAAAGAAAAAAGAATAAAAAGAATTAAACAAAGTCTCCAAGAAATATGGGATTATGTAAAACTTCCATACCTAAGAATAAGTGGTGGTTCCTGAGAGGAGAAGAGAAAGCGAAATTTGGTAAAATTTATTTGAGGGAATAATTGAGGAAATCTTCACTGGCCTTGCTAGAGATTTAGATATCCAAATACAAGAAGCTCGAACTCCTGGGAGATTCATCACAAAAAAGACTTCACCAATGAATATAGTCGTCAGGATATCTAAAGTCAATGTAAAGGAAAGAATTCTGAGAGCAGTGAGACAAAAGCACCAGGTAACCATTAAAGGAAAACTTATCAGACTAATGGTGGATTTCTCACAAGAAACCTTATAAGCCAGTAGGAATTGTGGTCATATCTTTAGCCTCCTTAAACAGAATTAGTGTCAGCCAAGAATTTTGGGTCCAGCAAAACTAATTCTCCTAAATGAAGAAGCGATAAACCCACTTTTCAGACAAATAAATGCTGGGGGGGTATTTGCCACTACTAGATCAGCCCTAAGAAAATGCTAAAAAGGAGTTCTAAATCCTGAAACTTAAGATATTCACCTGAATAGAAACTCTTGAAAGCATAAACTCACAGGGCCTATAAACAATAACACAATAAAGAAAACAAAGTGTCTAGGTAATGATTAAGATAATGACTGAAACAGTAACTCACTTCTCAGTATGAAAATTGAATGTAAATGGCCTAAATGCCCCACTTAAAAGATAGATTAGCCGAATGGATTTTTAAAAACACATACCAAATATCTGTTGTCTTCAAGAGACTCACCTAACATGTAAAGATTCATATAAACTAAAAGTAAAGTGATATGAAAAGATATTCCATGCAAATGGAAACGATAAGCTAGCAGGTGTAGATATTCTCATATCAGATAAAATGCACTTTAAAGCAACAGCAGAAAAAAAAGGCAAAGAAGGCCTCTGTATAATGATAAAAGAATCAATCCACTAAGAAGATATTACCATCTTGAATTTATATGCTCCTAACACTGGAGCTCCCAAATTTATAAAACAATTGCTATGAGCCCTAATAAATGAGATAGAAAGTAACACAATAATAGCCAGTGATTCAACTCTCCACTGACAGCACTAGAAAGTTATTGAGACAGAAAGTCAGCAAAGAAATAATGACTTCAGCTATGCTCTAGAACAAATGGACCTAACAGATATTTACAGAATATTCTATGCAAGAACTTCAGAAAACACATTCTTCTCATTAGCACATGAAACATTTTCCAAGATAGAGCATATAACAGGCCACAAAACAGGTCTCAATAAATTTTAAAAAATCAAAATCATATCAAGCATCCTCTAAGACCACAATGAACTAAAACTGGAAATTGACTGAAAAAGAACTCTCACAATTACACAAATACATGAACATTAAATAATCTGCTCTTGAGTGATGTCTGGGTCAATATTAAATCAAAATGGAAATTCAAAAATTATTTGAACTGAAAAATATAGCAACAAAAGTTATCAAAACCTCTGAGATACAGCAAAAGCAGTGCTAAGACGAAAGTTCATAGCATTAAATGCCTGCACTAAAACACCTAAAAGAGCACAAATAGACAATCTAATGTCACACCTCAAGGAACTAGAGAAAGAAGAACAACCCAAACCCGGAAGCAGAAAAGGAATTTAAAAATCAGAGCAAAACTAAATAATTTTTTTAAAAAAGATAAATGAAACATAAAGCAGGCTCTTTGAAAAGATAAACAAAACTGATAGACCATTAGTGAGATTAACCAAAAAAAAGGAGAGAGAAAATCCAAATAAGCTCAATTAGAAATGAAATGGGAGATATTACAATCAATACCACAGAAATACAAAAGATCATTCAAGGCTACTATGAACACCTTTATGCACACAAACTAGAAAATCTAAAGGATATGGATAAATTTCTGGAAATATACAACCCTCCTAGATTAAATTAGAAAGAAATAGAAACTCTGAACAGAGCAATAACAAGTAGCATGATTGAAACAGTAATAAAAAAAATTGCCAACATAAAAAGTCCAGATGAATACACAGCTCAATTTTATCAAATATTCATTCAAAGAAGAAGTGGTACCAGTCCTACTGTTACTATTTCAAAAGACAGAAAAAGAGGGAATCCTATCTGAATCATTCTGTGAACCCAGTATCATCCTAATATCAAAACCAGGAAAGGACATAATAAAAAAAGGAAACCACAGACCAACACCCTGATGAACATAGATGCAAAAATTCTCAACAAAATAATAGCTAACCAAATCCAAGAGCATATCAAAAAAAATTATACATCAGGACCAAGTGGGCTTCATACCAGGGAGGCAGGGATGATTTAACATACTCATCAATAAATATGATACATCACATAAACAAAATTAAAAATAACAATTATATTATCATGTCAGTAGACGCAGAAAAGCATTTGACAAAATCCAGTATCCCTTTAAGATTAAAACCCTCACAAAACTGGCATAGAAGTGAAACACCTCAAGGTAATAAAAGCTATCTATGACAAACCCACAGCCAAAATTGTACTGGATGGGGAAAAGTTGAAATCATTCCCCCCAAGAACTGGAATAAGGCAAGGTTGCCCACCTTCATGACTTCTATTCAACATAATACTGAAAGTCCTAGCCAGAGCTATCAGACATGAGAAAGAAGTGAAGGGCATCCAAATTGGTAAAGAGGAAGTCAAACCATTGTTGTTCACCAATGATACAATCATAGGCTTAGAAAACCCAAAAGACTCACCCAGAAAGCTCCTGGATCTGATAAACAAATTTAATAAAGTCTCAGTATGCAAAATCAATATACGCAAGTCAGTAGCATTGCTCTATACCAACGATAATGAAGCTTGGAGTTGAATCAAGAACTCAATCTCTTTTACAACAGCAGCAAAAAATAAAATAAAATACATAGGAATAACATAACCAAGGAGGTTAAAAATTTCTACAAGGAAAACTACAACACACTGCTGAAAGAAATGACTGATGAAACAAACAAAGGGAAACATATTCCATGCTCATGGATGGGTAGAATCAATATTGTGAAAATGAGCATATTGCCCAGAGCAACCTACAGATTCAATGCAATTCCCATCAAAATGTTATCACCATTCTTCACAGAATTAGATAAAACAGTCCTAAAATTTATATGAAACCAATAAAGAGCCTGCATAGCCAAAGCAAGAATAATCAAAAAGAACAAATCTGGAGGCATCACATTGCCTGACTTCAAACTATGCTACAAGACTATAGTTATCAAAATGGGATGGCACTGGTATAACAATAGGCACATAGACAAATGGAACAGATTTGAGAACCTATAGATAAAGCCAAATACAGCCAACTGATCTTTGACAAAGCAAACAAAATTAGAAATTGGAGAAAGGGTACCCTATTCAATAAATGATGTTAGGATAATTGGCAAGCCACATGTAGAAGAATGAAACTGGATCCTCATCTCTCACCTTACACAAAAATCAACTTCAGATGGATCACAGACTTACATCTAACACCTGAAACCATAACAACTCTAGAAAATAACATTAGAAAAACTCTTCTAGACTTTAGCTTAGGCAAAGAGTTCATGGCCAAGAGCCCAAAAGGAAATGCAACAAAAACAAAACTAAATAGATGAGACCAAATTAAACTAAAAATCTTCTGCACAGTAAAAGAAATAATCAGCAGAGTAAACAGACAACCCACAGACTGGGAGAAAATATTGAGAAACTATGCATCTGACAAAGGACTAATATCCTGTATCTATAAGTAATTCAGACAAATCAGGAAAATCAAGGAAAAGACAATCAAGGAAAAAAATCCAATCAAAAAGTGGACAAAAGATATGAATAGATAATTCTCAAAAGAAGATATACAAATGGCCAACAAACATATGAAAAACTGCTCAACATCACTAATTATCAGGGAAATGCAAATTAAAACCACAATGAGATACCAACTTATTCTTGCAAAAATGGCCATAATTTAAAAAAAAATAGATGTCAGTGTGGATGTGGTAAGAAAAGAAACAATTTTACACTGCTGGTGGGAATGCAAACTAGTGCAACCACTATGGGAAACAGTATGCAGATTCCTTAAAGAACTAAAAGTAGAACCACCTTTTAATCCATCAGTCCCACTACTGGGTATCTACCCCACAAAAAAAGAAGTCATTATATGAAAAAGACTCTTGCATACACATGTTTATAGCAGCACAATTTGCAATTGCAAAAACATGAAAGCAGCATAAATGTCCATCAGCCAATGAATGAATAAAGAAAATGTGGTATATACACACCATGGAATACTACTCAGCCATAATAAGGAATGATGTAATGGCAATTGCAGCAACTTGGATGGATTTGGAGATGATCATTCTAAGTTAAGTAACTCAGGAATGAAAAACCAAATAGCAATGGTATATGTTCTCACTCATAAGTGGGAGTTAAGCTATGAGGATACAAAGGCATAAGAATGATAAAATTGACTTTGGGGACTCAGAGAGAATTTGGGAGGGGGATGAGGGATAAAAGACTATATATTGGACACAGTGTACACTGTATGGGTGATGGGTATACCAAAACCTCAGAAATCACCACTAAAGAACTTATTCATGTAATCAAAAACCCACTGTTCTCAAAAAACTATTGAAAGTTTTAAAAAGTCTGAAAAGTCACAAGTAAACAACCTAATGCCACTCTTCAAGGAACTAGAGGAACAACAATAAACTGGACCCAAAGCTAGCAGAAGAAGAAAAAAAAAGATCAGAGCAGAACTAAATAAAATTGAAACAAAGAAAAATAGAGAAGATCAGATGATAAATTAAACAAAAAGCTGGTTCTTTGAAAAGATGAACAAATTTGATAGACCATTAGCCAAGGTTAACCAAGAAAAGATAGAAGATTCAAGTAATCTCAATTGGAAATGCAAATGGAGACACTACAAGCAACAACACACAAAGACAAAACATCATTTGAGACTACTATCAACACCTCTATGCACACAAACTAGAACATTTAGAGGAAATGGATAACTTCCTGGAAATATACAACCCACCTAGATTAAATCAGGAATAAATAGAAACTCTGAACAGAACAATAACAAGCAGTGAGATTGCATCAGTAATTTAAAAATTACCAACAACAAAACAAAGCCCAGGGCCAGCTAGATTCAAAGCTGAATTCTTCCAGACACCCAAAGAATAATTGGTGCCAATTCTACTGAAACTATTCCAAATGATGGAGAAAGAGGGAGTCCTCCATAACTCATTCTATGAAGTCGGTATCAACCTGATACCAAAACCAGAAAAGCACATAACAACAAAAGAAAATGACAGACCAACATCCCTGATGAACATATATACAAAAATGCTCAATAAAATACTAGCTAACTGAATTCAACAGTGCCTCAAAAAGATAATATACCATGATCAAGTAGGTTTCATCCCAGGAATGTAGGGATGGTCTGACATATGTAAGTCAATAAATGTAGCACATCACATAAAAAGAATTAAAAAACAAAAACCATATGATAATTTCAATCTATGCAGAAAGGCATTCTATAAAATTCAGCATTTCTTTATGATACAAACACTCAACAAACTAGGCATAGAAGGCACTTACCTCAAAATAATAAAATCTACATATGGCAAACCCACAGCCTACGTTATACTGAGTAGGGAAAAGTTGAAAGCATTTCCTCTGAGAACCGGAACGAGACAAAGATGCCCACTTTCACCACTTCTATTCAGCATAGTACTGAAAGTCTTAGGTAAAGCAAGAAAGTACATTTAAATTGAAAAAGGGGGAGTCAAAAATTAGCACTGTTCACCAGTGATATGATTATGTACCTGGTAAACCCTAAAGACTCATCCAAAAGACTCCTAGATTTGATAAACAAATTTAGTAAAGTCTCAGGTTACAGAATTAATATACACAAATCAGTACCACTGCTAAACACCAACAATGACAAAGATGAGAATCAAATTAAGAACTCAATCCCTTTTACAACAGCTGCAAAAGAATAAAATACCCTTTTACAAGGAGATGAAAAATCTATACAAGAAGAACTACAAAACACTGCTAAAATAAATCATAGCTGACACAAACAAATGGAAACACATCCCACATTCAGGGATTGGAAGAATCAATATTGTGAAAATGACCATATTGCCCAAAGCAATCCACAGATTTAATGCCATTCCTTTCAAAATACCAGTATCATATTTCACAGAATTAGAGAAAACAATTATAAAATTCATATAGAACCAAAAAAAAAACACCCAAATAGCCAAAGCAACCCTACACAAAAGGAACAAATTCAGAGGCATCACATTGCTGGACTTCAAATTATACTACAAGGCTATAGTTACCAAAGCAGCATGGTAATGGTATGAAAGTAGACACACCGATCAATGGAACAAAATAGGGAACTCAGAAATAAATCCAAATACTTATAACCAACTGATCCCCAACAAAGCAAACAAAAAAAGTGGGGACAGTACACTTTATTTAATAAATTGTGCTGGGAAAATTGGCTAGCCACATGTAGAAGAATGAAACTGGATCCTTGTCTCTCACCTTACATAAAGATAAACTCAAGATGGATCAAAGACTTAAATCTGTGACCTGAAACCATACAAACCCTAGAAGATAACCTAGAAAAAAAATCTTCTGGACATTGGCATAGGCAAATAATTAATGATTAAGACCTCCAAAAGCAAATGCAACAATAACAAAAATAAATAAATAGGACCTAATAAAACTAAAAAATTCTGTACAAGCAAAACAAATAATCTCAGAGTAAACAGACAAAGCACAGTAAGGAGAAAAAAATTTGCAAACTATGAATCCAACAAAGGACGAATATCCAGAATGTACAAGTAACTCAAACAAATCAGCAAGAAAAAAAATCCCATCAAAAAGTGGGCAAAGGACATGAAGAGACATGTCTCAAAAAAAGATACACAAATGTCCAACAAACATATGAAAAATGCTCAACATCACTAATCATTAGGGAAATGCAAATTAAAATGACAATGCAATACCACCTTACTCCTTCAGGACTGGCCATTGTTAAAAAGTCAAAAAACAATAGACATTGGCATGGTGTGGTGAAAAGGGAACACTTATACACTGCTGGTGGGAATGTAAGTTAGTACAACCTCCATGGAAAACCGTATAGAGATTTCTTAAAGAACTAAAAGTAAATCTACTATCCAATGCAACAATCCCACTGTTGGGTATCTACCCAAAGGAAAAGGCATTACACCAAAAAGGCATCTGCACATGTATGTTTACTGCAGCACAATTCATAGTAGCAAACATATAGAACCAACCTAAATGACCATTGACCAAAGAGTGGTTAAAGACAATGTGGTATATATACACCATGGAATACTACTCAGCCATTAAAAAAGAATGAAATAGTGTATTTTGCAGCAACTTGGATGGATGGAGCTGGAGGCCATTATTCTAAGTGAAGTAACCCAGGAATGGAAAGCTAATACCATATGTTCTCACTTACAAGTGGGAGCTAACCTGTGGAAACACGAAGGCATACAGAGTGATATAATGGGCTATGGAGACTCAGAAGAGGGAGACTGTGAGGGGCAGTGAGGGATAAAACACTACATAGTGGGCATAATGTACATTATTTTGGTGACAGGTACACTAAAATCTCAGACTTCACCACTAAACAATTCATCCGTGTATGCAAAAACCACTTGTACCCCAAAAGCTATTGAAATAAAAACATACTATTTAAAAATTTCAGGTGGAAAACAATTTCCTCTAAATTTTGAAAATATCAATCCATTGTCTTTTGGCTCAGTCTTACTGTACAGATAATATTGAAATTGCCAGTATGCTAGTGGAGAAATGACAATACATTTTAATTTGCATTTTAAAATGAACTACATTGTCTATATATTGGCTGTCCCCTATGGTCAGCCTCTCTTTTTCCTTGCACCAGACTAAAGATAGCACTCAAAATTTATTTGCAGGTCCCCTTTAAAGAGAACCATTTTAAAAACCATAATGTTCAACATAGAATTCATTTGATATTTTCTAGGGGAAACATAGGTGGAAGTTTGTATTGCCCAGCATTTGGTATTTAAATTAATTACTCATTATACATTCTAAATCTCCCCCTTTTTTGAATTGGTTGATTTTCTTTTTCATTTTAGAAACTAAGGTTCAATTATATATAATAAAATTTTTCCTTTTAGTGTACAGTTCTGTGAGTTTTATTAACATACACAGTTGTGTAACCAGAATAGTCCCATCAGTCCCAAAAACTTCTCCATGCTTCTTTGTGGTCAACCTCTCCTCTAATCCCTACACTCTGACAACCACTGATCTGTTTTCTGTCTTTGTTGTTTTGCCTGCATAATATTGTCAAATAAATGGAATCATAGAGTTAAAAAATAACAGGAGAGTGATAGAGTTTCATTGTGATAATGGTAGCAATATTTTCCAGAATGCAATATTGACCTTGTGAAAGTAAAATAAAAACTTGGGACCCCAATTCACTATGCCAAAATAAAAATATTAAGGTGAAAGCTGAGTCATGAAAGAAGCTGCCTTTCCTTTTGTTCCTAAGCAGATAGCTATAGATAAAAGGTTAAATATTTCCACAAGTTAAATAGCTATAGATAAAAGTTAAATATTTCCAGATCTTATGTAAAATATGAGACAAATACATAATTGACTGTTCCCTACCTGCTCTTTTTCTCTTGCAATATGTGAATTACCATATCCTCCCTGTTCCCTCTCCACTTTTCCTCTAACTTTTTTTTTTTTTTTTTTTTTTTTTTGAGACAGAGTCTGTCTGTGTCATCCAGGCTGGAGTACAGTGGCATGATCTCGGCTCACCACCACCTCTGCCTCCCCGGTTCAAGTGATTCTCATGTCTCAGTCTCCAGAGTAGCTGAGATTACAGTGGTCCGCATTTGACAGCGTAAAGGTGGTGAATTTTCCCAGGATTCAGTGGAGACTTAGAAGTTAGGATGACATTGAATAAATCCTGCTAAAAACCACTCCAGAGGTGTAGTTCCTAAAAGTGTGGTTTGGGCTTCTTTGGAGCACACATTATCAGCATCAGGGAATGCTACTGTGTAGGTCTCTGTGGTATATCCCCAAAGGTTTATAAAGTGACCCACAGGGGAAATTTTTAAAATGTGGTTTCTGCCATAACAGATGGCGTCTATGATCAGATTTCAAGAGAACCAGTCAGGTAAGGCTGTCCTTTCCTCCTAAATACTTTTTCCGATGTCCCAGACCCAGAAGAAATAGGAGCAGCGGAGGTGAGGATCAGGCTATGAAGCAGGGAAAGATAGCACAGAATGCATTGCCTTCTCTATGGGGTTTACAGTATTACAGTTCAGGATTAAACTAGAGAAGGAAGCAAAATATTAAGTAAGACACTGGAGTTTTTATTTAGCTGTGAATTGGATTTATACATAGGTACGTATATTTCCTTTCAGACCCATTGAAAAACATATTAAATAATTTTAAATAGTTTAATTTCAAAATTACAGAAAAGTTGCAAGTACAAGTCATTTTTTTCCTAAATTATTTGAAAGTAAAGTGTTAATGCAATGTCATCACCTTTTAATACTTCAGCATGCTATTTTTAGAAACAAGGACTTTTTATACATAACTATAAGGCAGCCATCAAAATCAGAAAACTAATACTGACACATTGCTAGCATCAAATCCTCACATTCCACTTAATTTTTGCAGTTGTCCTCATAACATCCTTTATAGCAAAAAGATTTAATCCAGGAATGCAAATTGCATTTAGCTGTCATGTTTCTCTAATTCCCTTCAATCTGGAAGAGTTTCTTAGTCTACCTTGACTCCCACATCCTAATTCTTTTGAAAATTATAGGTCAGTTGTTCTATAGATTGCCTGACAATTTGGATTTGTCTCATGCTTCCTGGTGATATGATTCAAGTTCTGTATCTTTGGCAAGAATATCATGGAAGACACACTATGTTTTTCTCAGTCTGCCTAAGGTGGTGTTACCAGCGATGAATCTATATGGGTCTGCAGCAACCTCAATACTTGCCTCCTCAGAAGAAAGAATTCAACTGAATGGCATAAGGCATAAGGAGAGACAGAGGCAAGTGTTAGAGCAGAAGTGAAAGATTAATGAAAACTTTAGAGCAGGAATGAAAGGAAGTAAAATACACCTGGAAGAGGACCAAGTGGGTAACTTGAGAGATCAAGTGCATGGCTTGACTTTTTGACTTGGGGTTTTATATGCTGGCATGCTTCCAGGTCTTGTGCTCCTTCTTCCTTGATTCTTTCCTTGTGGAGTGGACTGTCTGCATGCACAGTGGCCTGCCAGCACTTGGAAGGGGCCGCAAGCACAGTGTGTTTACTGGAGTTGTACACATGCTCACTTGAGGTGTCTTTCCTTACCAGTCAAATGTCCCTAGAAGGTCATATACCAGTTAAACTCTGCCATTTCGCCTCTTAATCACATGTTTGAGCCCACTTGCCCGGATCATGAGATCTTATTGGGAAACTGCTGATCACCACTTTCAGGTTTTTTCTATCTATTGGGAGATTTCCTTTCCCTGGTGCAGGCTGCGACCAATTATTATTTTACAGAAACAGTGTAACAACTGCCTGCCCATCACCTGATGGCTGCCTAACATTCCTGGTGGCAGAGGGTAGGGGAGCCCTCTCCAGCTCTGCTCATGTCTGACTAGCTACCTACTGTAACTGTGGCACACGATTTCATTTTGTCCCGTTACTGTGATGTTATCTTTGGTTATATGATTAAGGTCACAATGGATTTTCTAGTAGCTAAAAAATGAAATTATTTCAACACCTGAAAGTGACTGAAAAAATTAGGCCCACTGTGCCATCAAAGGAGTGAGCAAAAAAATCCCACGTGGTCTGTTTATAATAAAGGCAACAGGAAAAATAGAATGAAGCCATCTATTTGCACTCTGTAGACTCAAATAAAATTAAATCAAGGCAAATCAAAACAAATCAGGCCCCAAATAGGGATATTTGCTTTGATTTTCATTTTATAGTTTTATAAGTATTAAAGATTTATATTGCTTAATGATTGTACTTATCTAAATAATATTAGTAACATTATAATACAAATAATACAGTTGGATGCAGTGGCTCACACTTGTAATCCTAGCACTTTGGGAGGCTGAGGCAGGTGGATCACTTGAGGCCAGGAGTTCAAGGCTAGCCTGGGCAACATGGCAAAACTCCATCTCTAATAAAAATATAAACATTAGCCAGACATGGTGGCAGGCATCTGTAATCCCAGCTACTCGGGTGGCTGAGGCAGGAGAATTGCTTGAACCCGGGAAGCAGAGGTTGCAGTGAGCAGAGATCACACACCACCGCACTCCAGCCTGAGTGACAGAACGAGACTGTGTCTCAAATAATAATAATAAATACTGAAATCTGTGAGAGCATGGTTTTAAAGGTCTAACCTAACCTGAATTTGGTAGGGGAGAAAAACTATTTAAATCTGTTCATTTTGAGACAGAG
The DNA here is from genome assembly GCF_000001405.40 of Homo sapiens. NCBI lineage: Eukaryota > Metazoa > Chordata > Mammalia > Primates > Hominidae > Homo > Homo sapiens. The sequence continues at coordinate 96,300,993 of NC_000006.12, forward strand.
TAGGAAGAGGACTTGGTTGCAACTCATCCCCACTGGAGCATTCTTTCATGCATTCCCGCTGATCACAAAACTCACACCACTACCTCACTAATGCCATAATGTTTAACCATGCCTTTTACTCAAAGAATTCCAGGAAGTGGCCTCAAGAGACAACCAAGGTTGCAGAGTGTCCCACTTCAGGCAGGAATGCTGAACAATTGATTTATAGCCTTTTTGCCCACAGACTAGACCATCAGGTGGCCCATTACTCAAGATAACCATCACAACCAAATAATTCTGACCCACATACCTCACCCCTCACGTGCTTTGACCAGCTCAATGTGCACACCCTACCCCTGATGTCAATTCCCACGCTTTGGAAAAAAAAAAAAAAAAAAACCCTACCTCCAGCTCTTTTTAGGGACTCAGTCAAGGAATTCTCTGTCTCTCTCTCTCTCTCTCTCTCTCACACTGCCTCCCTTATGTCTGGGCGTAAACTCCAATTAAGTCTTATTTGGAAAACTCTTTTGGCCTGTGTCAATTTCTGTTGAATGGAGAGCCCAAGAACCTGTGGTCAGTAACAATGTCACTTAAAACAATTTTGAGTTTTGAAAGGTGGAGGGACTACCGGTTTTTAGTGGCAGATCCAGAAAACAAACCACATCTCATAGCTCACAGCCTTATTCTCATTTACCCAAATGGCAGTCTGCCAGTTATGCCAAATCCTCTTTTTTCTCTACCTTCTGAAGTTGGGGCAGCTAGTAACAATAATCATATTTTAATAACAACACCATGTATCAACTGCGTTTTATGTGTCAGGAATTAGCCTAAGTATTGAATATGTATCATTTCATTACCTTCTCACGACAAGTCAATGAAGTAAGTCCTATAGGTATCCTAAATTAAAATAAAAGGAATCTGAGGCCTGAAAAAGGAAAGGAATTTCCTTCACAGCCACATGATTTCCAAGTGGTGACGTCATTACAGGAGCAGACAGTCTGATGTGAGAGCCATTGTTCTTGACCATCTTGGCACATTGCCCCTCTGCCTGCCCTCTGGGATTCTGCTTTGATAGTTTTTACTATTATCTGTGTGGGTGGTTGTTTTGTTTTGTTTTGTTTTTTCCCACATCTCTTTCTAACCAGAGCACAAACTCCACAAGGAAAAGAATTGTCTTTTTCATTTCTTTCACTTATTTAACATAATATTGGACACAAGGAAGAAGTAACTATTAAAATCGAATTAATTAACTCAGTTAATTAAATGAAAGAAAGGACAAAAGAATGCTAAATGCAGAAATCAAGGTGTTAGAAATATGAAAATCTGACCACAATAAAAAAAAAAGGTTTTAATCTGTGAATGAGTAAGTCTAAAGCGCATAGATCATTACAAATGAAGGCAAAAGTTTTTAAGTCTTCTGCAGGAGATTGATTAGGACCTGAATCTGAAGACAGAAATGTTAAACTCCATAAAATAGATACAGAAACAATTGCACTAAGAAAGAGATAATATGAAGTATGAGATGGTGAAATGACAAGAAGATTTAGAATTAATTATAATGATTGTTTTTCAATTGCTCAGAATCAAGTTGGAGGAGGACTGAATAGCTCCAAAGACATCTAGCCATGATCGAATTAAGTATGGAGCTATTAGTGTGGTGGGGAAGACAAATATAAGTAAAAAGCCTATTGTTTTAATAGCATGAATTTGACAATACAATGAGTCAAAATATGCAATCATATCAGTTGGCAGTTTTGCGAACTGACCTAATTGGTTGGCTGACTAAATTGACTAGGAAAGTTTTCGGACAAACATATGTGCAAACAAATATAGCCTGAATCAACCAATCAAAAAGCTAGTGTTTATTTAATACATCTATGAACTGGCACATCTATTAAGTAAATTAACATACATTTGGGGAATTTGTGGCTTTCACCAGGTGTTTGGCTATTGGCAATAGGTAATTATATCACTAATAAACATTCTGTATGGTTATTGCTTTATTTACTCACCAATATAAAAATGCAGCAAGGATGAAAGAATAATTATTGCATTCTAGTAAAACTCTGACTCAAAAGCATATTTTAAAAGGCCCAGTTTAAAAGCCTACTGGCAAACAATGTGGAAATGTGTTGAATCCTGTTCTAAATAGCACTGCTAAAGTAGCTGAAAGTCGGACATGAGTTATAAAAGTTAGAAGGATGAAAAAGAAACAGAAAGCAGGTCACATAAGCTCAAATGGTCCATTGAAGAGCTTGTCACAGAATGTATGATGTCTGGCTGTAAAAATAAAAACCTTTGACAATCCTGATTAAATCTAAAGACAAAATAAATAACGGGAAAATAGAGCCTGAGTTATTAGAAGACAAAGAGAAGAATCTTTCAAAACAGCAACGGGGCACATTTTCTGCAGTTGAATTGCTGTGCCAGAGGTTTGTAGGTTTGGTTACAGCGAGGAAAATAGCTGCCTATGATCTGACCACCTGGTGAGGCTCAAGCAGCTACAGCGATGCCGATCTGAGGACCTTGTTCCAGTGGCTTTCTAGGTGGAAAGACTAATTAGTGAGGGAAGTCAAGGGTACAGATTTAATGTGAAGCTTGGCCAAGCTCAGTGTCATTTTTTTCTGACATGGAAGAATTTTCACATCTATGAATAAATTTCAACATTCCATCACATCAACGCCAACACTTTCCGTAGAAGTATGATTTGTTTTTCCGTTAAAGATATATCAGAGTGTGTGCTGTTTTTTCTTTGGAAGTACCTGCCTTTGATGACAGGGCTCGTGCCTTTCCTTAAGTCTGATGACAGCCCAGGCATGAGCATGGGCAGGTAGCTCCTATAAATATTTAAGTGATTTCCCCGGTCTTTGAATTATTGCCATTAGATGAAAAGGAAATATTGATGTCTGGAGCTTGCCCAAGAAATCCCTGAAAGACAATGGCTCCTCTAGAGAAGTTTGCCTGGCTCTCACATAGAGCTTCATGTCTTTATTAGTCTGCACTGACTACTCTGTAGTCTGTGAAAACACTGAAAGGAAGGTGAGAGCTACCAATTCTACACTGTCAATTCAGAAGGTATTGGTAAGGCATATAAGGACAATATTTTACTACTCTAAAATTCCAAACCCCTGACTCCACACATTATCCAAGGAGCTATGCCTGGTGGTTCCAGCTCATAGCTGCTGTAAGAGAAAAGTAGCTATTTTTATTTTTATAGCCAGATATCATTTATTTTAGTTTTGATGGAATGGTAAGTAAACCCATTTAGCCAAATGTGCTCGGCATTTTCTTTTCCGATTTCAGTGTCTAGGATAATCAAGCAAACACAATCTATAAGCAGCTAATAATCATCCCAAGAATATTCTTCTTAAATATGCTCAAAATAACAAAATATAAACCCCTTAGTGTGTTTTAAAATGTACATAATTTACATAAATAATTCTGACTGCTCAATGGTTCAGCAATATGCTTTTTGCATTTACTATCATCTCTGAGATCTGCCCACGTTGCTACTTGCTCTTAACCTGGTTGTCCAGTATGCTGACAGCAGGGCACACCAACTTTACTAAAAGATATCTGGGTATTATAATTCCAAACTAAGAAACTTACCTGCACAACAAAGATAGCCAGATGCTGAAATCCTGAAGAAAGAACTGAAGTGATATTTGCCACCTGAAACCTTCCGAACCATCATAGTTATTCCCCGCTGATCAACTGCAGTCTGAGGCTGCGCTTTCGTAATATGAGGCAGAGATGGTTTGATTTGTTTCTCAACTTTAAGAGACCTACCACATTTTTCTTCCCTGACACCTCATTCATCAATATTTAGATGCTGTGCTGGATTGGGCCCTGTCTGGTAACAAAAACTTCCATTCCACACTCAAGCATTGGTCTCTATTTGCTAAGCTCTAGTTCATTCTATATATTGTATAATATTCCATTATATGAATTGTCTAAAATTTATTCCTCTGTTCACTTGTTGACGGATATTTGGGATTGTTTTTATTTTTTTCTTATTACTAGTACAGATTTTACCACATTGAAAACGATTGTTTTGTCATCCTGTGTAGAGTACCAGAAGGGCATCATGGCAAAGTCAGCCACAACACAATCAAAAGAAATGTGTGTCAGTTATTCAGTTAACTACTCAGCTAACAGTAATGTTTTGCTCTGGTAAACAACTACCTCTAACCTCTTCACAGTTTCTCAATATCACATTCACTTTCGTTCTGAATAAATATTGTGAGTCACCTTGTTTACACATCTATATGATTGACCTTTTCAAATGTGTATCTTCAACTTTCTCTTTCAAAGTTTGTTTCCAGTATATACCTTCCCTATCCTGCTGACTACCAAGGACTTCCTGAATTCATGTATGTGCATGTAGGGAGAAGGAAGAAATACCTTGAATTTACTCAGTCATTTTTATATAGCTTCTAATTTTGATGTGCAAAAAAAACGGGTTATGGTCATCACTAGCTCAAGCTATGAGTCACTCTCCTCCCTGGATTTCAATTATTATTTTTTAAAGTGGAATTTTTAATCTGCAGCCTTGTTCCATAATATTACACACCTAAAATTGAATTTTTGGAACTAATATACGCGAATATGCAAATGTAATACATACTGCCACAGTAGTTTTAACAGTTTGTTCTCATTAATACTCTCATCATCAATGAACAATAGTTTTCTTTTCTCCTTGCCAATGCTAGGTATAGTCATAATATTTTTATCAAGCTGATGCAACAGAAAGATATTACACTGTAATTTACTTTGTAAGTTATTATTAATAAATCTAGAGATCTTATACACATATTTATTAGCCATTCAAAGACTTGACTTATATTCTATGGGTTTATTTGTCTTTTTCATATTATTGTATGGAAATTATTTATCTTAGACATTTATCATTTGTTATCTCTGTTACAAAAACCTTCTACTGGTCTATTTCTTGTCTTAATTTTGCTGACGGTCTTTAGAATTTTCTATTTTGATAGAGTTAAATTTATGCATTTTTTCTTCATGATTTGTATTTTATCATGACTTTATTAAAGGGTCAAAAAATATTTTATTTTTATAAATTTAAGATAGATGTGATATATGCAGGAGAGAGAGACAGATGAATAGACAGATAACTTCATTCCAGAAGGATCAAAACAATGGCATCATTTTAAGAATATGAATGTCTCAATAAGCCCTCAGTTATATTAAATATTAATATTTTTTTAATTTTTGTGAATTTGATATTTTTAAAGACTTGATGCTTTAAATTATATTTACATTTATATTAAAATAACTGGCATTTTTTTGTTTGTTTGTTTGAGCCAGAGTCTCTCTCCGTCACCCAGGCTGGAGCGCAGTGGCATGATCTCGGCTCACTGCAACCTCCACCTCCCGGGTTCAAGCCATTCTCCTGCCTCAGTCTCTGAGTAGCTGGGACTACAGGCGCACACCACCACGCCTGGGTAATCTTTGTATTTTTAGTAGAGACAGGGTTTCACCATATTGGCCAGGCTGGTCTCGAACTCCCGACCTTGTGATCCACCCGCCTTGGCATCCCAAAGTGCTAGGATTACAGGTGTGAGCCACCACACCTGGCCTGAAGTCTTTTTAATGACTATCTTGAGTTCTTTTTATGTGAATTCTGTTTATTTTGAGATGCTAATGTTATCCTTATTGTTGTGTAATATATTTTATAGCAACAATAAGACATCTTCTTTTTTAAATGATATATAGGGAGAAATATTTGTTCTTAAGGACTTTGATAATCAGAAACATTTTATGGCCAAGGAGCATATGGAAAGATGCTCAACATCACTAATCATTAGGGAAATGCAAATCAAAACCACAATTAACTATAAACTCACATCTTTTAGGATGACTACTATTAAAAATAAAATAGAAAATAACAAGTGTTAGGAAGAATGTGGAGAAACTGGAAACCCTCTATACTGTTGGTAAGAATGTAAAACAGTACGGCTGCTATAGAAAGCAGTATGACAGTTTCTCAAAAATTAAAAATAGGATTACCATATGATCCAGTAATTTCATTTCTGGTTATATATTCAAAAGAATTGAAAGCAGGGTCATGAAGAGATATTTGTGCATCCATTTGCTCACAGCATTATTCACAATATCCAAGAGGGGGAAGCAACCCAAATGTCCATCAGAGAAGAAATGGTTAAACAAAATATAGTATATGTATACAATGTATTATTCAGCCTTAAAATGGGTTGAAATTCTGACACATACTACAACATGTAAGATTTTTTTTAGTAAGTATAATCATTTCATGTAGTTATATTTGGTTTATTGAGTAAGTTGCACCTGGCAAGGCACAAAAACGAAACTTGATTTTTTCTTGACCATTGCCTTTATGCAATCTTCTGAATATTTTTTCACTGTTCTAAATGAAGTTTTGTATTTTCTTTCTTGTCATACTCACATATTAAGAGTTAAAGTCAAGTCCAAGTCTCTCGTTTCATTTGAAACTTGCTGCTTCACCTAGCTAAGGTCTGACTTAGTTTCTTCTCTTCTTCAGAACCTTTTTCTTTAACTTTTACCACTGGCTCTTCCAGTGATGAGGGAAAGAAGGTAGATGGAGAGAGGTAAAAGCAAGATTTTCCTTAACCAATACCATTGTAACCTCTTATTGATGGCCTTTAGATGTGGTCAGGATTCCTTGTCCTTGGGAAGTAAGCATGCTTAATGTGTTTAGGAAGCTGTATGCATGCCCACCTGAGGCTTTCTTCCCTTTTCTAGCAGTGTGCCCCCAGAAGGTCATATTCTGCCATTTTGTCTCTTCATGCACATATTCAGGAAGTTGCATCTCCCTGGCTTCTGCATTCAATTAACACTTCAGTGCAACTGAATGGCCTCTCCCTCATGCTAGCTGCCAATTTATAACTTTTAGGGAGGCAATGTGATAATTGCCAAACCACCACCTGACATTCCTAGTGGGTAGGGGAATGCCTGCCCCACTCATGCCTGTCTAATTACCTGTAACACTTTGATTGAGTCTTACAAATATCAATATGTAGTGTTTTTACTTCATTCAGTACTTCATAATTTCCTAAGAGTTCCTCTATAATAAAAGAAATATTTATCATAGGTTCCAAATATAAGGGATTTTTTTAAAGCTGTCCTTTTGTTATGAATTTCTCACTGCATTGAATTACGGCCAAAGAACATAGTCATAATGCAACGCCAATTCTTTAGGATTTATTAATGCTTCTGTTGTGGCCTTGTCTATTGTATCTCCCATGAATTGACTAAAAGAATATTTATTGTTGTTGGGTATATATTTCTACATACAGTTAACATGTTTTTTAATGTGTTACCTAAATCTAATATATTAGTAGGTTTGTCTTCTAGATCTCTCAGCTTAAACCACAATTTTTGATATACTTATTTTTCCTGAGCATTGTTGTGTTACATGTTTTAGGGCTGTGTTACTGAAACACCAGAGGTTTGGTCTAGATCTTGGTCCTCACCACACAGAAAGCCAATCACTGAGGCAACAAGCATTGCCAGGGAAGAAGGCTTTTTTGGGTGTTATAGTCCAGAAGATAGGAGATCAGTCTCAAATCGATCTCCTCAACTGATTAAAATTAGGAGTTTATATAATGGGGAAGAAATGTAACTATGTGTGAGAAAACAAGCATTAGGGAATAGTGAGGAAGAGGAGTTGGTGAAAAGGAAGCAGGTGGTTGAATAGGCAATCATGAGGGATGACGGCTCTGGTGTCTTATTGTTCAGATGCAATCACCTGGTAAGTTTCAGTCCCTTGACATTATTTGGGAAGACTGATGGTTGGTGTTCTGAGAAAGGAACTCATATAAGACAAATGTAACATTCTCAAGCTTTGAGACTGGGGGGGCAATTTCTATGTTTATTCAAAAGAAAACATAACTTAATTTCTATGGGACAACTGGGCCCATTTCAGCTGCATTAATATTCTGCAAATTATGTGCATGATCATCATACCTTCTTGAGCTAATATTTCTTTTATCAATAAATTATCTATTTCATTATTCCTACTATACTATTACCTTAATATCTACTTGGTGCATTATCAGAATAATTATCACAGATTTCACCCAGATTTACTTTTCCTCCTTCATATGGTTGTTTAAATGTCACATTTTCAACAAGACCTTTCCAGGTCTCTGGTTTATTTGTTTGTTTTCTGCCCATGAATGCTTATTCATATTAATGTGAACACATTCAGTCATATATGCATGCACATGTGTGTGAGTAGTTACCTAAGTTTGTGTTTGTTCTTGATTTCCTTCAGTAACAATAAGTGGGGCTTCCTTCTGAAGGACTTAGGCTAATTAAAGCATGAAGAGGCAATGGCTTGAATTCAGATAGTTCATTTTGTTCTATAGCCAACCATATATTTTTACTAAGTAGGGATTATATGATCACATTCCCAAATGAGAGAGATTTTTGTTTTCTTGTGTTATGTCTTGGTTTTGATGGGGACATTGCTTTAATTCTCTCTTCCACTAAGCAACAGCAGCCAAGCATTCTGACGTCTTCTCTCCATGACTAGAAAGATTCAGAAGTGAATTGACTCTGGGGACAGTTTAATCTTTCAGGTGTCATAGAAAGTTTCTTGCAGTTTCTACACAGAGTGTGGGTAGTCAGATATATTTCCATTTGAGGGTCCTTGAGGACAAATCACTTATAGTGGATGCTAACTTATTTATAATTATTAGGAAGTCCTTAGAAGGTTAAAAAAAAAACTGAGGCTAAAGTCATTAAATCAATGTGATCTTGAAATCTGTTCTAATCTGAAGACTAGACTGGGGGTGCCTTACGCAAGTTCTTAAAAGTATGAATATTATATAAATAGTAAAAGACAGCTTTCAGCACTGCTCAGACCAAATGATGTCACCTCATCATATATTTGTTGCCTTCTCCTACCATGCTTTTTCCTGTCTCCCTGTGTGCTGGCTAAATTCCCTCTGTGTGGATTTACTCAGATAACTTCCAGGCCTCTGTTTTATCAAATTGCAACACCCTACCCTCCTTACCCCTCTCCCTGCTTTACTTTTCACCATAGCATTTGTCGAGTGTTAACAAAGACTGAATTTAACTACTCATGTAGTTTGTTGTCTCTCTTCCCTGAGTTAAAAGGTCAAAAAAATACACTAAACAGATGTTTCATCTGTTTTGCTGTCTGCTGTATCATCACAGCTGGAAGAGGAGCTCAACACCTAGAAGGCTTTCCATAAATATTTGTTGAATGAACGAACACTTCCATATCCTTCTGTTTTACATGTATGTCTTGTAGACAGTGATTTCAGTTATTTGCATGTTTGTTTTAAGCACCTATTCCCATGTTTCTGTATTCTGCTATGTGTTGAGGGGACTGAAAGCCTGCAAGTGACGTTTCCTAGGATCTCATGCCAACTGGCTTCCTGTCAAGTTCTGCTAATGGGAATCCTAATAGAAATTCATAAGGTGCAGGAGAGCAGAAATACCTCTTACCTGTTTTCAGTTTGTGACAGTCTTCAGGGGCAGCAGCAGCAGTGACAGAGCAACAGAGCTACAGCATAGCCACAGAGGACAGCATTGGTATTTGTTACCAATGTAGTTTATGGGTCTATCCCTGGCCAAAAAGGAAACTCTTTGGTGCACCCTGAATAGGATGTCACAGCAGTTCCATCAATTTATTGGCAGGTATAGAAACCTGGACTTCAGCCCAGAATTGTCAGCAAGTTTCTGTTCTTTGGGTATCACCCTATCTTTTGTTGTTGTTGTTGTTATTGTTGTTTTGCTTCTGCTGATGATCTTCTGCATTTTGCTCATTCAACATCTGTGTGACCAATTACCTTTATTCAATTTCCTTTAAATATCTTGAGTTTTTTCCTTGATGGGAATCTTGACTAATAAAACAACATATCACTAAATCTTATTTTTAATTCAACCTGTGTCTCTATATTTTAACTCACAGTTATTAATATTACTCTTATAATTTAGGTTTTCTTGTGTGTAATTCTTAGTGTTCTATATTACCGTATCTTAATTTTTTTTCATTTTTTCCATTCCTACTTTACATATTAGGAAGGTTACTGTTTTCAGTTGACTGAAAGTTAAAATTTATGCCTTCTGAAATGTATGTGTTTTATAGTTTACTGTCTTGAAAACCAGAATGATTTGAAGTCTATGGCATTCTATGATCGTTACTGGCCAGGGTAGTAATTGTGACACAGTTGCCATTTCCTGAACATGTAGAAATATCAAATATTTGAGCATCAAAACCCACAGAATTGGTGTCAGCAGTTTGAAGAAAATCCTGGAGAAAACATTAAAGAGTAGAGTATTTTTAACCCCTAGAAATGAAATGATATGGGGAAAGAAGTTGACAGAGGTGGTGAACTGGAGAAGTGTAGCAACATCCCTAAACGAAGCCTAAAGTAGACCTCCTCTACCTGCAGAACAGAGTAGTTTTACTTCTTCTACAAATTCTTTTAAAAATACTACATCATCACTCTGTATGGTACAGTGAATTATTTTGTGCAGGAAAATACAAATATCAATGATGCTAAGTTAAGAAGTAGCTTAGAAGAGTTGGACTCTTGTAAAGAAGTTTTAATAATATCTGGTTTTACTTTATTTCTTCTTCCTGTGTTTTCATAAAATGATGATGTCTAAAAAAATCTTTGAATATAAATATTCTAACTGATAAGAAAGCACATAGTGTCGTGTTTGGCATCCGTCCTTCATAGTGGTAAATGAAATGATGGCACATTTTACAATTGATGGCATCTTAAACCCTATGTAAAACAGCAGACATACTATTTTCACTTTTGTCTAATTAAAATTTAAAATTGATTTTATTTGTAACTATAAATTTCTTAAATTTATTACTATGTACATATTTTCCTTGAACCAGACAATTACTCTCAGCCCACACTGGTCTCCAGCACTCCTTTTATCCCCATTATTTTAGAATCACCAGGAATTTTAATTCTAGAATGTTATGGGGTTCATTTGTTTAATTTGTTTGTATCTGTTTGTTTATCATTTTTGTTTATTAAGACAATAGTACTGCTAAGCTATAACTCCACAATGTTACTTCTTCTTAGATTTATTTCTCTTTTTTGCTAGAATTTTTTCTCCAAGAGTAATTTCAAAAGTCATTTATGTGTGGCAAATTTTCTGAGGTTCATTGAGCTGAGCATCAGAAAATAAAGATATTTCACTTTCATAGCTAAATATTAGTCTATTTGAAAAATTCTACACTCAAAATTCTTCACCTTCAGTATTTTTTTCATTTAAGCCTTGATTTCATCTAGAAATAACTTTCTCCCCATGCCATTTATTAAGTAAAGATATCCCTTCAGTGTCAGTTTGTAATTCTTCTATTAGCATATACTTAATTCAGAGATACATCAATGCATATTCCATTCCATTTTTCTGCACATTATTTTGTCAGTACCACCCTATAAACTGTTAGAACTCTGATAGAGTAACATGAGATTATTTCATTACAGTATCTCCACATAGCAACTACCAGTTCTAGAACATCTTTTCTTCTTTTGCAACTATCCCCACCTTTATTTGCAGAGGACAATCCCCAAATTACATATAGCTGAACTCTATAATATCTTGCAGATGTAAGAATATAACGATGAAGAAACTAAAAGAGCTGGTTAAGTCTCCTCCAACTACCAGAAGTGAGTTCATAAATAAAAACAGAAAGAAAAAGAGGCAAATCTCTTAGGAGGATGAGAGCTGTTTCTGGGGAAAATGACATGTTCCTCAGTCCTGATAGTCCCCATCCCCGGAAGAATTTCTCTTGCAGTTTGTGACTTGAAGATGGTGAGAATTTCTCATCTGAATCTCTCATGGCAACTGATGCTCGGCCAACTTGTGCAACGGAAAAATAAACTCGAATGAGCAACTAGCAATATGCATGTAACACACCCACATATCTAAAACACAACACACATATAGTGATACAATTGAAAGGGTATGAGGGAATGCTTAAAGATTTTCACAAAAGTGCAAGGTTGCATGTCTGTTCTTCAGAAATGGGCCATAAGCCAGCCACGAAAGGTAAAGGGAAGGGGCAGGGGAAGGAAAGGGCTGGCTGCCACCTTTAAGGAACAGCTTGGCAGAGAACTGAGCCTGTATCAGTGGGGACTTTTGGGGTCACACTTCGTAGATACAAGAGATGATATTTTTACTTTTTCAACATTTCCAGAATATACAGTGATAATACAAATCAAATGTATATCATTTAACACAATAATTCCATGTCTAGGAACCCTTTTGAAGATACTATGTGTAGATATGCTTATTAAAGTATAATTTTTTATTAGCTACAAATAGATTTTTATTTTAAGTAAGTATTTAATAATAGAAACATATGACTATGATTTGATTTTGTCACCACTTTAGACATCCCTAAAACTTTGTCTTACAGGGATCTTCTTTAACTCTCTTGTAACCAGGGAGACTTGCATTAATGAACAAATGTGTGGATAATTTGTTTACTTATAATTTTTAATTATAAATTTCATATTTTACCGCAGTTTGGCCAGAAAAAAAATCTATCTTGAATCATTTTTGTCATTTAGGCTGTTCCAAATTTACTTTTTAGCCTAATATGTAATGGAGTGGGGGAAGATTTCATAAAAATTAAAAAGTAGATTTTGATATCTCTTTTAGGATAACAAGCTTTACATATAAATTAATAGTTAATTTTTATAAGGTATGTTATTCTAACTTTTTATGTCTTATTTAAATGTTTGTACTGAACCTGTCAAAGGCAAAAACAGTTATCTTAGACCATTTATCTTTCCATTTATTTTCTTTTTCTTTCTTCCTTTCTTTCTTTCTTTCTTTTTTTTTTTTTTTGAGACAAGGTCTCACTCAGGCTGGAGTGCAGCAGTGTAATCATGGCTCACTGCAGCCTCTACTTCCTGGGCTCAAGCGATTCTCCCACCACAGCCTTCCAAGCGGCTGGAACTACACACATGAACCACCATGGCTGACTAATTTTCTCTTTATTTTCTGTAGAGATGAGGTCTCACTACATTGCCCAGGCTGGTCTCGAACTCCTGGACTCAAGCAATCCTCCCACCTCAGCCTCCCAAAGTTTGGGGGGTGAGCTACAGAACCCAGCCATTTCTTTTTTAAGCATTTGTCTTTGAATTATATATATTGATACATTGTTAAGCACCGCCAAAATAGTCCATGAATATTATATTTTCATTTAAATATAAATAACAGGTTTTAGCCCATTTAATTATTCTTGCAATGAATTCTCAACTTTGTCTGAAATTAAAATTGCAACTGAAGCTTTCTTTTTCAAATTTGAGAAATGCTGTCCATCCATTTCTTTTCAATAATTCTGATTCATGTACATTTAGATAATTAGATTGTTTTGCTCATTACAACCAAATTGCCAGTATTCAGTTCAATAGAATGCTTTATATTTGTTGACAAAATTGGCATGCTTTTCCTTACTTTTGTCAGTTTGTTTTATGTTTTATTTTCTTGAAGAGGTAGTTGTAAATGTTTCTGTTTCTATTTATTTCTCTAATTGTATTAGTCAAGGTTCTCCAGAGAAACAGAACAATTTCATTTGTAGAGATAGAGATATAGATACAGATATATGCATATATACATATATACACACACACACATATACATATGCACACACACATGAATATATATAAAGATTTATTATGAAAAATTAACTCATGCAATTATAGAGGCTGAAAAGTTCTATAATATGGCATCTACAATATAGAGACCCAGGAAAACCAGTGATTTAAATCTAGTCTGAGTCCAAAGTCTTGAGAACCAAGAGGTAATGATGGAACGGTGAAACTCCCAGTGTCACTCATGCCGGATGTTGTTTACAAAAGCCTGGCCTCCCACTTACTCCCTCTCTCACCATATGACACGCCTGCTCCCTATTTGCCTTCCACTGTGAGTAAAAGCTTTCTGAGGCTTCACCAGAAGCCGAACAGGTGCTGGTGTCATGCTTGTACAGCCTGCAGAACCATGAGCCAAATAAACTTCTTCTCTTCATAAATTACCCAGTCTCAGGTATTCCTTTACAGAAACACAAAACTGGCTAATACACCATTTCTTTTGAAAACATTGATTGTATTTAGTTTAACAAACAACATCTACAATAATAATTTAGATTGACCTGAAATACTGTTTTTGATGTCCACAACCTGGTTTTGTTTTCATTTAATGAGGTATTACTGTGTTTTCAACTTTATCTCCCACTTGACTAATACATGGCTTCAATAAAATTGTCAAGGGTAAACATGCAATATTTTTTGGAGAACTCTACATAACCTAACCATGGCATTTTAGTAAATAGCAACTTATCTAATGCAAAATTCTTGAGTCGAGACGACCAGCCCCTGCCACAGATGTGGGTGTCAGTGACCAGTCTTGGCATTGCTCACTGGGGTAGGCGGAATGATGGGCCCGCCAAATATGTCATTATTCACAGAAGCTGTGAATATGTTACTTTACATGGCAAAAAGTACTTTGCAGATGTGATTAAATTTAAGGGTCTTGATGCAGAGATTATCCTGGATATCCAAGCATGCCCAACGTAATCACAAGTATGCTTATAAGTGAAGAAGGAGGCAAGGAGAGGACAATCAGAGAAACAGATGTGACGATGGAAGGAGAGGTCGGAGTAATGCAGGGCAATGAGCCAGGGAATGGGGGCTGTAAATTAGAAAAGGCAAGGAGATGGATACTCTTCTGAAACATTCAGGGGGAATGTAGCCCTACTTGTACATTTTAGAAGTCTTTCCTTCAGAACATAAGATAATGAATTTGTGTTGTTTTCAGCTGCTAAGTTTGTGGTAATTTGTTACAGCAGCAACAGGAAACAAAGGCACTCTCTGTTGATGACCATACTATGCCACACCACATAAAAGACAAAACATGTTGAGGCTTCTGGGCTAAAATAGAGGGAATTCCTTTCTTCTCCATGCATAAGGACTCTCACTTATTTGTATGGAATTTGGCTACTATTGCACCAATTTTTAATGTTCTTTCATGCTTCTTCCACAGGGTCCCCATTCCCATGATAATCCTTAGAACCTCCAGAGTGCTTTCTCATTTCCAATTAGTCAGACCTACTTGTTTTTGCTTTACAGACTTCATTTAACTCCTTAAACTGGGAGATACACAATCAAACAGCATACATTCAGTTTGCTTCCAACCCAGCCCCTGTGGGCAATCAGACATCAGTGTAACATCCAAAACATGCAAGCAATCCTTGGTTCACAGAAAAGGCTGGCACACTCCTCTAGTCCTGTCTAAGGCTACGTGGCTAAAGTCAAGACTCCCTGCCCCAGTTTTAGGCCACAGCTGCCTGTCTTGGATACTGTCATTCTTCAAGTTTCATGGGAGAATGTTTCCCCTGCAGGGCTGCCTTCCTCTGCATAACCATGCTCAGCCAAAGTAACTCTTTTAAGCTCCCAGAAGTATAACATTTTAGATTCACTAATGTCTTATCCTCCTCTGATTTAAAAGGGCTAGACATGAATTAATTTTGCTGTCAGCTCATACTTACTCCAGGACTGCTATTCATGTGCCAAGTCCAGTCCACTGCTCCTATCTACTTTCAAACACCTAGTGATGGGAATATCAAGGGCTTCTTTGGTCTTTTCTGTTTACAAGCCTTGGTCAAGCCTGGCTCTGTCCATTCAATGAGTTTTAATAACTTTTAATCTCAGGAAAGTTTATGATTTCTATCCTTCACGTCTCCAAAAGAAACCAAGCTCCTTATGAAATGTCCCCAATTCTGTCTCTGCAAATATCAACCTCCATGTTTCACATTTTAAAAGAATAATTAAAAATTAAGTTGGATCCACTGTCCACCTTGCTACATACACATACACATACACATTGTCAGGATTGTCCTCAAAGAAGCTTCTTTGACTACCCAAATCTCACAAAGATTTTGTGTGTAAATAATCCTCACAGTTTTTCTTGCTACTCTTCTGTCACTAAGACATGATGCGGGATCTACAGGGGCTGGCCAGAGGACTGACCGCTGAAACAAATGGACATATCTTTGCCTTCTGCTACCCTCTACTTCTGTCTTAGATAGCATTTCTTTTGAACATCTTTTTGTCCTCCTTTCTCTGCTTCATTTTCTTTGCATCCCTCCTAGCATTCAGTTTGTATTAGTCTGTTTTCACACTGCTGATAAAGACATACCTGAGACTGGGCAATTTACAAAAAAAAGAGGTTTAATGGACTTACAGTTCCACATGGTTGGGGAGGCCTCACAATCATGATGGAAGGCAAGGAGGAATAAGTCACATCTTACATGGATGGTAGCGGGCAAAGAAAGAGAGCTTGTGGAGGGCAACGCCTCTTTTTAAAACCATCAGATCTCATGAGACTTATCAACTATCATGAGAACAGCATGAGAAAGACAAGCTTCCATGATTCGATTACCCTCCACCAGGTCCCTCCCACAACACATGAGAATTCAAGAGGAGATGTGGGTGGGGACACAGCCAAACCATATTATTTCACCCCTAGCCCCTCCCAAATCTCATGTCTTCACATTTCAAAACTAATCATGCCTTCCCAACAGTCCCCCAAAGTCTTAACTCATTTCAGCATTAACTCAAAAATCCACAGTCCAACATCTCATCTGATACAAGGCAAGTCCCTTCTGCCTATGAGCCTATAAAATCAAAAGCAGATTAGTTACTTCCTAGATACAACATGGGTATAGGCACCAGGTAAATACAGCCATTCCAAATGGGATAAATTGGCCACAATAAAGGGGCTACAGGCCCCATTCAAGTCCAATATCCCACAGAGCAAGCAAATCTTAAAGATCCAAAATGATCTCCTTTCACTCCATGTCTCACATCAGGTCACATTGATGCAAGAAGTGGATTCCCAAGGTCTTGGGAAGCTCTGCCCCTATGGCTTTGCAGGGTACAGCCTCCCTCCCGACTGCTTTCACAGGCTGGTGTTGAGTGTCTATGGCTTTTCTGGGTGCACAGTGCAAGCTATTGCGGATCTACCATTCTGTGGTCTGGAAGACAGTAGCCCTCTTCTCACAGCTCCACTAGGCAGTGCCCCAATGGGCACTCTGTGTAGGGGCTTCAGCCCCACATTTCCCTTCCATATTGCCCTAGCAGAGGTTCTCCATGAGCACCCTGCACCTGCAGGAAACCTTTGCCAGGACATTCAGGCATTTCCATACATCCTCTGAAACTTAGGCAGAGGTTCCCAAACCTCAATTCTTAACTTCCAAGCACCCACAGGCTCAACACCATGTGGTAGCTGCCAAAGTTTGGGGCTTGAACCCTCTGAAGCCATGGCCTAAGCTGTATCTTGGCTCCTTTTAGTCATGGCTGGAGCAGCTGGGATGCAGGGCACCAAGTCCCTAGACTGCATACAGCAAAGAGACTCTGGGCCCAGCATACAAAACCATTTTTTCCTCCTAGGTCTCAAGGCCTATGATGGGAGGGGCTGCCACTAAGGTCTCTGACATTCCCTGGAGACATTTTCTCTATTGTCTTGGTGATTAACATTTGTCTCCTCATTATTTATGCAAATATTGGCAGCCAACTTGATATTCTCCTCAGAAAATGGGATTTTCTTTTCTATCACATTGTCAGGCTGCAAATTTTCTGAAGTTTTAGACTGCTTCCCTTATAAAGCTGAATTCCATTAGCAGCACCCAAGTCACCTCTTGAATGCTTTGCTGCTGAGAAATTTCTTCTGCCAGATACACTAAACTATCTCTCTCAAGTTCAAAGTTTCACAAATCTCCAGACCAGGGTCAAAATACCACCAGTCTCTTTTATAAAACATAAGGAAAGTCACCTTTGCTCAAGTTCGCAACAAGTTCCTTATCTCCATTTGAGACCACCTCAGCCTGGATTTCATTGTCCATATCATTATCAACATTTTGGTCTAAGCCACCCAATAAGTTTCTAGGAAGTTCCAAACTTTTCCACATTTTCCTGTCTTCTTCTGAGCCCTCCAAACTGTTCCAACCTCTGTTTGTTACCCAGTTGTAAAGTTGCTTTCACATTTTCAGGTATCTTTTCAGCAATGATCCACTCTACTGGTACCAATTTACTTCATTAGTCCATTTTCATTCTGCTGATAAAGACATGTCCAAGACTGGGCAATTTACAAAAGAAAGAGGTTTAATGGACTTACAGTTCCACACGGTTAGAAAGGCCTCAAAATCATAGTGGAAGGCAAGTAGGAGTAAGTCACATCTTACGTGGATGGCAGCAGGCAAAGAGAGAAAGCTTGTGCAGGGAACTCTCTTCTTTTTAAAATAATCAGATCTCATGAGACTTATTTGCTATCATGAAAACAAGATGAGATTTGGGTGGGGATACACTCAAATCATATTATAGCTGTCAGCCCATATGGCTAAATCCTTTGTTATCACTTTGAGTTTTGCCTTATAAAATTTCACCACTTTAAATGTTTAATATATAGTATACAGTTTATTATAAAACATTCACAATATGTTTTCAGTGATTTTATAATTATGCATTTGCTGTATATACATATTTGTGAATTATAGCAAAATGCATAAACATTAAAGATTATATGACAAAATGCTAAAAATTATTTATAGATGGTATATTCTTATGTAACTTAATTGTTACTACATGCTTATCTTTATTATATAAAGTTTCTAAAATGAATATATACTATAATTAAAAAGGCAACTCTTACAAAAATTCTTAAGAGCCATTCAGTTAATTGGCTAATAAGCTTTGATCACACAATAAAACTCAGTACCTAATAATAGCAAAATAAAATTTAACTATGTCATTTCCGTGCTCACAAATTCAGTGATAGGACTTAACATCATACACATTCTGAAACTTTTTATAGAAAATTTATAAAACACCCACTTTTTTTGTAAAATTCAGTTGAATATTTCACTGCTACATTGTAAAATTAATTTGTAAAAAATGAACCACCTCAAGAGAAATCCTTCTTTAGAGAATTACATCTAACAAACATAGAAATAATAACAGAATCCATATAAAATCATTGCTGTACCTAATGATAATTAACAGTTGCTAAAACCATTAGCTGATGGGGAACTTTAAAATAGATGGATCAGACTTTCAATACTTAAAAATTCAAAGGTAATCTTTTCTTTACATTCTCTTTCCTTTTTCATCAGAAAATGCCACATATTTTTCTCATTGTACTAAATTATAAATATGATAAAGTCTATTTTAAAACATACACTGAACATTCCAATTTCAGAAATCATAAGGGCAAAAAAAAAAGAGAATGAATCTGGTTCATTGCATGAAGCACATCTCATGCTGCATAGTGAGCAAATAATTATTCCTGCAACTGAAGTCTCCTAAAAGCTCTTTGTTGTACCAGCTGCTAAATGATTAATAGTGTTACATTGATAATTTTCTCAAAAGACACTGTTAAATGACAGAACACTGTGTCAGAGAAAATGAAGTTTGAGGTTTAGGGAAACAAAACACTTTTTCATAGTTTTAAAGGAAACATAGTGAGTATTGAGGAGTTGTATAGACTGCATATCAGCTTCTCATAGTAAACAAGCATGTGCCAATCCCCATTTTCTCTACTCTGAATGTATCACCTAAAGAAAAGCACAGAATTCAGTGTCACAAGAAAATGGCTTAGAAAGTTTATTTTCAGTCCTTTGTGTGTCTCTGTATGTATATACACAAATACATATATTACCTTGATTAAATACCTTAGACTGATAGTTTGAATGCAGATATCAAAAATACATATTTCATTTTGAAATTTTACTACTGACTTGCTTTGTGGCTTTTAATGTATCAACCTTCCACCTCCTCTACTCTTAGCAAAGCTAGCTATTGTGGTGACAAAAACAGCATGGATTTTAAGGCATGGAAAACCTGGGTTCAAAACAGACTTAAGAAATTTGCTTATATTCTTCCTCAGCTGTAGTCAGCATCCTAAACTGAGAAATGACAAACATTTACCAATCTCATTAGATTGAAGTAAGATGAAATCAAATCTACAGGTTTTGCGAGTCAGTGATATAAAATAAATCACATTTTCTATAATTCTCAAATTCTGATGGCCCTCGCAAGCATTTGCTCTATGTCAGGAAATCTGCATTTTCAAAAATTTCTTTAATCCAGATAGTACAAAGAATCTTCATGTATTTCCCATTGTAATCCACAAAAGAATAGCAAACAATCCAACAATGTAAAAAAAAATATGCACACTTCAACTAACAGATATATTCTCACTATGCAAGGCTGGTTCAACATTAAAAAATAACCAATGATGGCTTTTTAAAAAAGTATCTTGTATGCACTATATCTTGGCAATTGAAGAAAAATCCTTCTTTAGAGAATTACATCTAACAAACATAGATATAATAATAGAATCTATATAAAATCATTGCTCTACCTAATGATAATTAACAGTTGCTAAAACTATTAGCTGATGGGGAACTTTAAAATAGATGGATCAGACTTTCAATACTTAAAACCACAGACCCACCTTAACATCACAAAAGAGAGAAAAGCTTTTGGTGATATAATGTGCTTCCCGGTTTGCTGCAGTAGGAAGAGTACAGAAACACTCATAAGATATTCTTGCCAAAAAACTGAACCTGAATCTGATCAAGCACTGCTGTCTATCTGTTTACAGAAAATAGAAGGATAAAAAAATCATTAAATGACACCATGGCAGTTTCTTAACAGCAGTACTTTTGAAAGTTGGAGTGACTAATTTACTTAGAAGATGTTAATATCCTCTAAGTCAATGTATGTATCAACAAATGTAATGTGTGGACCTTGTCTGGGTTCTCATTCAGACTAACTAAATGTTTAAAAAGAAATTGGGACTATCGGAGAAATTTGAACACAATATATGTAATCATATTAAGAAATTATTATTTGTTTCAGTTATGATAATGGAATGGTGGTTATTTTTTTAAAAAAAAAATCAGTCAATGTGGTCCACCACATCAACACCCTAAAGAAAAAAATGATACAATCATATTAATTGACAGGAAAAAGCATTTGACAAAATCCAATATCCACTCATGATGAAAACTCTTAGCAAAGTAGGAATCAGAGAAGCTTCCTCAACATGATAAAGAACATCTAGAAAAAATTCGCAGCTAACATAAAACCGAATGGACACATCTCTCCCTTAAATATTATGACTGAGACAAGAATGTTCTTTCTCACCACTCCTTTTCAACATCATACTTATAAAATCTTAGCCATTCTAATAAAACAAAAATATATAAAAAATATATAGAGATTCAAAAAGAAGAAATAAAACTGTCTTTGCTCACAGATGACATATTGTCTATGTAGAAAACAGCAAACAATATGCAAAAAAGCAAAACAAAACAAAAAACCTCCTAGAAGTAATAAACAAGTATAGCTAGGTCACAGTATACCAGGTCAACATACAAATCTCAATTGCTTTTCTATATACTAACAATAAGAAATTTGAATTTGAAATTTAAATACACACACACATATCATTTACAACAGCGCCCCCCAAAATGAAATATTTAAGTAAAAATCTAATAAAATATGGACAGGGTCTTTATGTGGAAAACTACAAAATACTGATAAAATATATATTTACAAAAATTAATTGAGAGCTATTCCATTCTCATAAATTGGAAGACTAAATATTGTTAAGATGTAAATTATTCATAAAAGTATTTATAGACTTATCAGGACTCCAATCAAAAGGACTGCAAGGTATTTTTTAGATATCAACAATCTTATTTAAAAATGTGTATAAAATGACAAAGAACCTAGAATAGCCAACACAATAAGGAAGAAAAGAACAAAGTTGGAGGACTCAAACTTCACAATGTCAAGAATTATTATAAAGCTACAGTAAACAGGATAGCATGGTATTGGTGAAAAATAAACAAATAAATCAATAGAACAGAATAGAGAGCCCAGAAATAGACTCACTCAAATACAGTAAATTTATTTTTGATGAAATTAATATATCCTCAGTTGATAGAGGATCTATATATTGGGGGCAAGTGCAAAATTAACATAAAAGGATCTATAGTTGACCCTCAGTATCAGGAGGAAATTGGTTCCAGGAATCCCCTCCCCACCAACAAGGATACCAAAATTTGTGGATGCTTAAGTACCTTATATAAAATGTCATAGTATTTGCATATAATCTACATCTCCTCTCATATACTTTAATCATTTCTAGATTACTTATACTTAATACAATGTAAATGCTATGTAAAAAGTCATTATAGTGTATCATTTTTATTTGTATTATTTTTATTTTATTTTTTTATCATTATTTTTATATTTTTCTGAATATTTTTGATGTAGTTGTTCAACCCACAGATGCAGAACTGGCAGATATGAATGGCCAACTGTACATAGCCTTTAAGATTAAAATGTTTTTCTTCAGAATTGACCATTTTTTAAAATTAATTATGAGCCATACATTTAGTTTATTTGGAATTTTAAATAATATTCAATAAGTGAAATTTTTATATCAATAAAATTAAAAAATTTCAAAAAAGTTTAGAAAGGACTAATATACAATGTACATAGCATTTCTGTTGGATGCTGTAAGGGCAAAAGATGAGAGTTTGTCCTGAAGACACTTAAAGTCAAGTTGAGTTGTAAGCACATTAACAAACAGCCAATAAACAACTGAAAGTGATCAGTTATATTAGCAAAAGATCAAACCCAATTGCAAAGAAGCAATTACTGCTTAAGTCAATATCTTACCATAATGACTATACAATTCAAATTCAATTTTCCAGGATAATATGGACATTACAGTTATGAACCACCAGTAGTCTATTATCATAATTGAAACAGAATAGTTTTCAAGAATTAAATCTCATATTCCTAAAGAGAATTATTATCTCATAAGCAAAAGGAACACTATTGAGTAAAATCATGTTATAAAGTCTTTCACTGTAACAGAGATTACGTTTTACTGCTGGCAAAATTATTTCTTTTGTACTGGGCCATAAAAAATGTATTGCGATCTGTGGGAAGGGTGAGAGTTCAAATACATAATGTCAGATGATAGAACTTGGGAAAGCAATTACTATAAGGTTATTATAAAATTGGGTTGGGGATCCTTATTGTCTCAGTTTAAAACTTACGTTAAATCTTAGAAGAAAGTCTTGGGTTTGAGGTCCCTTGTTGATACAGGAGATAAAGCCAAACTACAAAAATGGATCCAAGTAATAAATAAGTATTGTTGAGCATAATCTTCCTGGAATTGTGGTCTAGAATTCTGAACCAATGGCCAGAACCCACAACCTGAATTTGTAACTTTAGCATTTAGGGAATTTGATGGGCTTCTAGTGGACATGATTGATTTGGTTCACTAGGCTGCATTCTACCTTTCCATGTAGACACAAGAGATAAAAATCACATCTCCCAGGTGCCCTTGTAGCTAGGACTCTAAATATGAAATAATTTTTACTAGTTAGATATAATCTCAGGAGATTTGGAAGGTAAAAATGAGGTAGAAAACACTTCTGTCACTGTATTCTCCTGACAAGAAGTATCGTAGAAACAAGGGTAGAAAGAAACAGCGGCAGCTAAACTCATATTCCTTCTAGTCATCCATTTCTTAGGTGTTCAGGCAAGGTTGGGATAGTATGAGAACCTCTGGCTCTTAGCTGACTGTGGTTTGTTTTTAAACTCAGTAATTCCAGTGACACGCTACTCAGCCCTTTCAAAGATTTTCCCTATATTTGATCCTTTTTTGTGTAAAAATACCCAGAGTAGCTCTAGATTCTAAACTGAATCTTGACTATTATCATATTAGGTTTACCTTTTATATTTTAAATATTTTAAGATAATTTGAGTTGTTTATAGTTATGATATTTATATAAAATATGTAGTTTTTATTTAAAACAGTATTTAAAAGCTAAATAAAATAGAATTTATTTAGTCCACATGTATATATTTTTAGAATCATAAAATATATTTGTGTTTATAAAGTACTTTTTATTCATCATAAATCTGTCTTGTTCTATATTTAGTGCTCTTAAGAAAAATAGATAGATTTAAGATTTTGATGTGAAATAGTTAAAGTTATTCATTAATCAACTTTTAAAATTGTATTAAAATCTAGAAAATTTAGTCAGGTAAATCTGTAAGCAAATCGAACGTTAATAGAAGAAAAATAAGATTAGTATTTTAATTTAAGCAAAAAATTAATATTTTTTTAAAAAATAAGATTTATTAAGTTGGGCTTAAAGAGTTGTTTTTAAATTCAATTTATTAAAATTGTAGATTTTAATACAAGTAGCTGTAAATCTCTTTCTACACACTAAACCTTTTCCCTCCCAATACAAGGCACTAAAAACCAAAGTGGCAATCTGTAACACTAAACTTCGTCTTTTTCTTAACTTCAACAATGTAACAAGTTTACATCATGCTAATATCTGCAATTTAACTAGTCTACCCCAAGGTAAATAACCTGCTGGCACATTTCTGGAGCCTATGTAGATTTTGAAATTGTGCTCAAGTACACCATAATTTTACTATATTATTTTGTTAGGAGACTTCGTGACACCATGAGATAAAAGTAAAAGAGTGAATAAAAAGGAGACACTTTGACAATATATAATCAAAAACTATAATTAGTAAACCTATTTCAGGAATGACTGCTAGAGATACTAGCTAGGGACAAAAGAGTAGTAGACTCAAGAAAGCAGAAAAGCAGCATCTACAGCAGTCAAGAATCTACATTCTGCAGAGTCCCAAGGGCCAACTTAACGTTGTGGGTCTGTCCTATCCCAGCATTAGCCACTGAGACACCACCTGGCATATAGCAATGCAGCCTAACTCACACTTCTACAGAATCTGACATTATACCAATGCTAAGAAAGGAACAGTCACAGAGAAATAATTCACTACAGACAGGTAAGGTATTCAATCCAAACCCAATGCCAGAGAGAGTGGCAAAACTAAGTTTGAGAATGGGAAAACTAAGTAGAAAAATTGCCCCTGTCAGGTGTGCCAGTGTAGACAGAAAGACGATCATCAACATTATGGAAGCCAAGAGGAGATGGTATTGTCTTAGAGAAGATAACTTTCCTGATTAATGATCAAATTTTGAGCCCATGAAATGTGTAGGGAAAGGGTGGAAATGAACTTAGCATGTATGAAGCACTTATCTTTTAATTATACAGTCAGAATATGAGGGAGGTAATCTTTCCATTCAAGGCAGATCAGAAATGGCACATGTAATAATTTGGTGAGCTAGAATTTGAGTCAGACTGCCAATGGGTTTATCATGATAAAGCAAAATATATTGATGACTACTCTCCCTTTAAATGAAACTGTTCTGATATCCAAGTATAATGGAGTAAATATCTTAAAAGCTATCACCAAAATTCTTTCTACTAAGGGGCCTGTATTTGCTTACAGATATCTGAAACTCAGATGAAGTGGGCTTGGGGCAGGGGGTGGGTAGTCAAGAGGAAGGTACAGAATTTGGAAAAGAGTGATGAAGGAAAAGAGAAGGTAAAGTAGTGTAAGTGGCAAATGGAGCCTCATTACTGAAATAGCCAAGGGACTTCTAAAAACAGGATTAATTTACTTTTGTTTTTTATTTTAATTGTATATATTTAATGTGTACAACTTGATGATTTTATATACACGTACAGTGTGAAATGATTGGCAAAATAAAGCTAATTGATATATCCATTACCTCACATGGTTACCTTTTTTCTTTACTTTTTCTGGTGAGAACGCTTAGGATCTACTCTCTTATACTGCTGTCACATTCCTTCATCATAGCACACCTTGACCAAATTCACCTACTCAAATATCTTTCTTTGAGTTGTTTATTTGGAAAATTTAAGGAAAGGTGTTAAATTTCACATTCAGATCATGTCACGCACCAGGTACAACACAAACATGACAGAAAAAAAAATATTTTAAAGGACAAAAGCAGTAAACTGGAACCAAAAAAGAGACTGAATAGCCAAGGCAATCTTAAGCAAAAAGAACAAAGTTGGAGGTGTCACGTTACCTGACTCCAGCTATACTACAGGGCTACAGTAACCAAAACAGCACGGTACTGGTACAAGAACAGATACATATCAATGGAACAGAATAGAGAATGCAGAAATAAAACTGCACACCTACAAACATCTGATCTTTGACAAACCTGACAAAAACAAGCAATAGGGAAAAGATTTTCTATTTAATAAATGGTGATGGGATAACTGGCTAGCCATATGCAGAAAACTGAAGCTGGACCCCTTCCTTACACCATATACAAAAATCAACTCAACATGAATTAAAGACTTAAAACCCAAAACTATAAAAGCCCTAGAAGACAACCTAGGCAATACCATTCAGGACATAGGAACAGGCAAAGATTTCATGACAAAGACATCAAAAGCAATTGCAAGAAAAGCAAAAATTGACAAGTGGGATCAAATGAAACTAAAGAGCTTCTACACAGCAAAAGAAACTATCAACAGAGTAAATAGAAAACCTACAGAATGAGAGGAAATTTTTGCAAACTATGTCTGACAAAGGTCTAATATTCATAAGGAACTTGAATTTACAAGAGAAAAACAGACAACCCCATTAAAAAGTGGGCAAAAGGCATGAACAGACACTTTACAAAAGACGACATGCATGCTGCCAACAAGCATATGAAAAAAGCTCAATATCACTGATCATTACGGAAATGCAAATGAAAACCACACTGAATACCTTCTCACACCAGTCAGAATGGTTATTATTAAAAAATAAAAAGTAAAATACAGATGCTGGTGAGTTTGTGGAGAAAAGGGAACACTTATACACTGTTGGTGGGAGTGTAAATTAGTCTGACCATTGTGGAAAGTGATTCCTCAAAGAGCTAAAAGCAGAACTACCATTCAACCCAGTAACCCCATTACTGGGTATGTACCCAGAGGAATATCAATCATTCTACCATAAAGACACATGCACGTGAATGCTCATTGCAACACTATTCACAATAGCAAAGACATGTAATCAGCCTAAATGCCCATGAATGACAGATTGGATAAATAAAATTCATTACATATACACCATTGAATACTATGCAGCCACTAAGAAGTATGAGATTATGTCTTTTACAAGAATATGGAGGGAGCTGGAGGCTTTTATCTTTAGCAAACCAACACACAAACAGAAAACCAAATAATGCATGTTCTCACTTATAACTGGGAGCTAAGTGATGAGAACTATTTATAAACACAAAGAAGGAAACAGACGCTGGGTCTGCTTGAGGGTGGGAGAAGGGAGAGGAGCAGAAAAGATAATTATTGGGCACTGAGCTTAATATCTGGGTGATGAAATAATCTGTACAACAAATTCCTGTGACACAAGTTTACCTGTGTAACACACATTCACATGTACCCCCAAACCTAAAACAAAAGTTAAAAAAATGAAAGTATATGGCCCCTAGGAAGTCACAAAAATCTCAATAAAGATTCAGTACACTTCAAAGAAAAAGGATGATGAGTATTAGAGAAAGAGGATGTTGAGTATTATAGAGATACTGACAACAAGTTACCCCAAGGAATTTGGGGAAATCATTTATATGTGGATACTTTCTGAGGAGGACTTCAAATACCAAATCTGGGTTTATTCCTTAGTAGTAACTAAGGAATCACTTTAGCAGCTACAATTATTTATCCTCCACTCAACAAAATGTCATGTTAGGTTTCTTAATCGTGTCTCTATGCTGTTATCACTCCTAAGCAGGTTTAGGAGTTGCCTGCAGAATAGACTAATGAAACATGTCCCTCACATAGTCTACATCTCAAATTAAACAGTGAAGTGTTGCTATAGATAGAGATGTTGCCATAGAAATGTATAGTTAGAAAATGTGCTTCTTGACAGTAATAACACTAGCTGCTTTTTATTTAAGTGTGTTCTAATACGAAAGTAATAAGGTTTTTTTCAAAAAATTCTTTTAAACATCTCATCAGTTCCTTTCCAGCTATGGCATACCTTTGGAGTTATTAAAACTTAAGCTTTACTTGTCAAACCCAGACAGGTATTGAATCTTCTTACAAGGGACTTGAAGCATCATGTAAAGGCAGCAAAGCCATCAGAGATCTGGTGTTTAAAAGTGAACCTGTCATGAATACTAAGTATGGCTCAAATAAAATCATTCTCTGCTCATGTCAAACCAGGGCTCAGATAACAAGAATTCTTAACTGTGTTCAATGGGGCTTAATGTTTTGTCAGTCATTTACCTTCATATTAAAAATACACTGTCAACCAGAGGTAAACTTCTACTAAAATGCATTACAGGCCTTCAAAGGAAAAGTTCCCCCCTTACCCAACCATAAAGTATCCACAGAGAACAAAGAGATTGTTTGTTTTCTTTATCCCTTTTAACTAATGGAAACTGCAGTATCCAGAAATACTCTTCGGTATTAGCACATATCAAAGAGATTTGTTTTTCCAAGGGTAGTTTTCAAAGGATGTACTTATAAATTATTAGTAATATTTCATAATTAGAAGCAATAAGTATAGCGAACTTGAATTTATTGGGAATGCATGTAACCAACAAACTTAAGAAACTGGTGTTTAAGATCTTTTTTTTTGAGATGGAGTCTTGCTCTGTCACCAGGCTGGAGTGCAGTGGCATGATCTCAGCTCACTGCAATCTCTGCCTCCCGGGTTCAAGTGATTCTCCTGCCTCAGCCTCCTGAGTAGCTGGGACTACAGGTGTGCCACGCCACGCTCAGCTAATTGTTGTATTTTTAGTAGAGAAGGGTTTTCACGATGTTGGCCAGGATGGTCTTGATCTCTTCACCTTGTGATCCACCCAACTCAGCCTCCCAAAGTGCTGGGATTACAAGCATGATAGATCATTTTTAATGACCTGAAAAAACCTAACTTGTCACTTCAAGAATTTTTGAGAAAATTGGACTATAGATAAGATTCAAGTAAAGTCTGGAATGTGTCTGATTTTTAATACAAAGTTAAAAAATAATCAAGCACAAATGCTGCTGATGATACCACAGGTGGCAAACAGACACAGAGGCCACTAAGGACTGATAAAGTAGGTAACAATGTTTCACAATCATTAACAATTTTAGTTTGAATGTGTCCCTCAAAAGTTAATCTGTTGAAAATTTAATCCCCAATGCAACAATGTGGGGAGATGGGGCCTAATAAGATGTGATTAGTTAATTTGGGCAGAACCCTCATGAATGGATTAACATCATTATTGTAGAAGTGGTTTATTTACAATGAGAGTATGTTGTTATAAAGCAAGTCTGGCCCCAGTGCCTTACTCTGTTTCTCACACTTGCTTCTGCTTTCCCACTTCCATCATGGAATGACCTTCACAAGATGTCAGTGCCATGCTCTTGGACTTCCCAACCTCCAGAAACATAAGCCCAATAATTTTCTATTCTTTATAAATTATACAGGTTGTGGTATTCTGTCGTAGCAGCAGAAAACAGACTAAAATACAAGGGGAAGGGAAAGGCATGTAAATTTACTCTTTGGCATATAATTTATGCTTATATAGGCAGTGTAACTGGGAAGGTAAGAGATATACATAATTGTACATTTAATCAGAGCTTTGAAAGAGTAAGAACAAGCTCAGGAGGAGCTTTGAGTAGTAGAATTATCATTCCATGGATCTCAGAAAATTGTGTTGGGCATGTTGATCTCATACATATACAGTAGCTAGCACTAGTAGGTTTTCAATACATTGGATAAATGACTTCTGAGCCTTCTCTGAAGGTGACACTGGGTCTCTGCAGTTGACCCAGGAATAAAACTGATAGAAAAGGGTCATATGAACTTTAGTCTCAGGCTGACTCTGATTTAAACCCTGGTTCTGCATTTTAACCATGTAAACGCTATACCCTTCAGCAAGTCATTTGACTTAATTAACATTAGTTTCTTTAGGTGTAAAATGAGGCTAATAACAAGATGAGCTATAAAGTGCTGCTGAGAGAATTAATTAGGGTAGGGCCTAAAAAGCACTTGGCAAAAAGTGTTTCAAAAATAGAAAGCTCTCAAACAATGGTAACTAAAAATGTACTGGTGATGTAACTCAAATGATATTTTTAAATTTCTTATAGCGAAATTATTTTAGACTTATGGAAGACTGACAAAAAATAGTACACAGATGTTCCCACATACCAAGGGTTTGCAAGTTTTTTTCTGTAAAGGGGTCAGATAGTAAATATTTTAGGCTTTGCAGGCCAGATGGCCTCAGTTGCAATTACTCAACTCTGACATTGTAAAAAAAGTGTGAAAGCAGTCATAGACAATATGTAGCACAGGCACAGCTCTGTTCTCCTAAAACTGTACAACAACCTGTGATGGGCTAAATTTGGCCCATGGGTTATAGTTTGCCAATCCTTACTCTAAACTGTAAGCTTTATTCAGATATTACCAATTTTGGCACTGATGTCTTTTTTTCTGTTCCAGAATTCAATTCAGCTTACTGTATAGTCATATCTCCTTGGTGTCCTTCAATCTGTAACAGTTTTTTAGTCTTTTCTTATCTTTCATGAACTTCACACTTGAGAAGAGTACTGGCCAGACATTCTGTAGAATATCCCTCAATTTAGCTTTGACTTCTGCTGTTGGATGACTATATGGAGGTTATGAATTTTTTGAAAGACTGTCAAAGAAGTGATATTTATTCCTTATAGCATCATATCTGGTGTGCATAATTTCAGCACGACTTATTCTGGTGATATTAACTATCTATCATCATTTGGTTAAGGTAGTATTTGACGTTTTTTCCAGTGTAGAAATTATTTTTTCCTTTCTAAACTCTGATAGAAGCAAATCTATAAGTCCAGTGCCCTCAAGGAGAGGGGAACTAAGCTCCACCCCCGGTAGGAAAACTATCAAAGAATTTGTGGACATATGCTATAACATCACAGTAATCAATAAATATTTTGGTGGAGATACTGTAAGGCTCTGCCAACATCCTGTTACTACTTAATATTTCATCCACTGATTTTAGCAAGCATCAGTGTCTTGTCTATAATAATTACTACAACAATGTACTAGTAATTATTTTCTATTTCCTTCATTTCTTCTACATTTATTAATTTGAATTCTTCTGTAAAAAATGTCATTTGTCTCTGTTTATTTACTTGTGCATTCATTCATTCATTTATTCAGTCATTATTTATACCAGTGTGCACCTTTAGATATTTATTTTATTCTTTGTTTTACAATCCAATACTAATGTTATTGATTTTGTTGATTAAATTTTGCATTTTGGCTGCTGGGAGCTCTTTCAGCAGAGCTCCAGTGTATTTTGACATACCCTCATCTTTCTATTACTTTTTTTTTATTTGTTTTGATTTAAGCACTTCCTAACTTTCTGGAATTAGAAAGCACCCAAGGCTCATCTTTATTTTTCTGTCCCAAATCTTGAATCAGCTATTCCCTCAAGGAACCTTTGTTCATTTTCCTGGAGAATAACATTCACAGACCAAGATCTGGCTGTTTGTTCTCGTTGCTACTGGGGTTTCATACTTTCAGGCCATCTTAGCAAAGAGAGCTAGGACATTTAAATATGTATATTTACCTATTTACATACACATATATCTATAATTTAGGATTGCCAAATAAAATATAAGATTGCTAGTTAAATGTGACTTTCAAATAAACAATGTTTGTTTTTTTTTTTTTTGGTATATGTGTGTCCCAAATATTGCATGGGGCATGCTTATACTAAAAATTTACATTTTGGCCAGGCACAGTGGCTCACGCCTGTAATCCCAGCACTTTGGGAAGCTGAGGCAGGTGGATCACGAGGTCAGGAGATCGAGACCATCCTGGCTAACACGGTGAAACCCCATCTCTACTAAAAATACAAAAAATTAGCCGGGCATGGTGGCAGGCGCCTGCAGTCCCAGCTACTTGGGAGGCTGAGGCAGGAGAATGGCATGAAATTGGGAGGTGGAGCTTGCAGTGAGCTGAGCTCACACCACTGTACTCCAGTCTGGGTGACAGAGTGAGACTCGGTCTCAAAAGAAAAAAAAAACTTAACCTTTTGTTTATCTGAAATTCACATTTACCTGATTGTCCTGTATTTTCTGTTGCTAAATCTAGCCACTATAGTATTTATTTCTGTTTATATCTCTTTGAATGTATATTAAAAGAAACAGGAATTAATATTGATATTACCAATTCTAATCTGGCACTACAAGTTTTATTCTAGCCTCCCCTGCCTTGCTTATTAGTAACTTCTTTCTTTGACAGTGAGAAACCTGGCTGTTATCATCCACAGTATATTTACTTATGTGTTCAATCCTAGTTTACATTCATAAAGCAGTTTAAGGGTAACAAAAACATACCATTATGAAAAACAAATTGATCCACTAGAATACAGATTTTTGTGCACAATTTTTAATTTTTGGCTTTATAGTATTTAGATGAAACCAAAAAAATTTAAGTAAGTTATTTTCTCCCCATCACCTTCAGTGAGGATATATCATATGTTATATTACACACTTAGGATTTATTTTTTCAAGTCTACATTTTATTCTAGACTTCCCCAAATTTTGGTTAATTTTAAAATTTGCATATAATGAAAGCTGTACTTTGTCATTTACTGTTAAAGCACCCTTACTTGTTTACTATTCTATGGCTTTTGACAAATAAATGGAATCTTGTAACCGTTACCACAGTACCCTACAAAACAGATCAAACACCCTAAAAATTCTCTTATGCAACCCCTTTGTGTCAACCCTTACTCTCATCTTCAATCCCTGGCAATCACCCCTATGCTTTAACAGAATACCAAATAAATAAAATCATATATTATGTGGTCTTTTGAGTGTGTTTTCTTTCATTAGGCAAAAGGCATTTAAGAGTCATTCATTCTCGTTGTTGCATGAATCAATGGCTCATTCCTTTTTATTGTGAACAATATTTCCTTGGATGGATGTACTACAGTTTTATCTGCTTACCTGTGGAAAAATACCTGGATTATTTCCAAATTTTGGGGATTATAAATATTCACAGAAAGTTTTTTGTATGAACATGTTTTCAATACTCTTGGGTAAAGATCTATGCATAAAATCACCAGGTTCTCTGGTAGCTGTGTGTTTAACTCTGTAAGATACTTTGTTTTCCAAAGTGACTGCACTATTTTCCATTTCCACCAGCAATGAAGAGTTCTCACTGCTCCGTGCTGTCATCAGCACTTGATATTGTCAGCTTTTTTGATGTTACTCATTCTAATAGGCAGTGATATTACATTGTGGTTTTCATTTTCATTTCCCTAATAAATAGTGATATTGAGCACCTTCCTGTATGTTTATTTGCCATTTGTATATCTTCTTTGCTGAAGTGCCTGTTAAAATTCTTTCCCTATTTAATTGTTCTTATGAAATTTTAATAATTATTTATATATTATGGAAATAAGCCATTTATTAGACATATGGTTTGTAAATATTTCCTTTCAGTCTGTGGCTTGTCAATTCATTTTCTAACAGCATTTGCAGAGCAAAATTTTAATTTTAATAAAGAGTAACATCAATTTTTCTGTTATGGTTCATAATACAGTTTAGCTGTATCCCCACCAAAATCTCATCTTGAATTGTAGCTCCCATAATTCCCAAGTGTTGTAGGAGGAACCTGGTGGGGGATAGTTGAATCATGGGGGCAGTTCCCTCATACTGTACACGTGGTAGTGAATGAGTCTCACAAGATCTGATGGTTTTATAAGAGGTTTCCCCTTTCACTTGGCTCTCATTCTATCTTGCCTGCCACCATATAAGACGTGCCTTTCACCTTCCACGATGATTGTGAGGCCTCCTCAGCAACATGGGACTGTGAGTCCATTAAACCTCATTTTCTTTATAAATTACCCACTCACGGGTATGTCTTTATCAGCAGCATGAAAATGGACTAGTACAGTAAATTGGTACCAGCAGAGTGGGGCACTGCTGAAAAGATACCCAAAAAGTGGATGCAACTTTGGAACTGGGTAACAGGCAGAGGTTGAAACAGTCTGGAGGGCTCAGAAGAAGACAGGAAAATGTGAAAAAGTTTGGAACTCCTTAGAGACGTGTTGAATGGCTTTGACCAAAAGGCTAATAGCAATATGGACAACAAGGTCCAGGCTGAGGTCTCAGATGGAGATGAGGAACTTATTGGGAACTAGAGTAAAGATGACCCTTGGTAGGTTTTAGCAAAGAGACTGATGGAATTTTGTCCCTGCCCTAGAGATCTGTGGAACTTTGAGCTTCAGAGAGATACTTAGGGTATATGGCAGAAGAAATTTCCAAGCAGCAAAGCATTCAAGAGGTGACTTGGGTGCTATCAAAAGCATTCAATTTTAAAAGGGAAACAGAGCATAAAAGTTCAGAAAATCTGCAACCTGACGATGGGACAGAAAAGAAAAACCCATGTTCTGAGGAGAAATTCAAGCCAGCTGCAGAAATTTGCATAAGTAATGAGAAGTCAAATATTAATCACTAAGACACTGGGGAAAATGTCTTCAGGGCATATCAGAGCCCCTCCCATCACAGGCCTAGAGGCCTAAGAAAAAAATAATTTTGTGGGAAAGGCCTAGGGCTCCCCTCTTGTGTGTGGCCTAGGGACTAGGTGCCTTGTGTCCCAGCCACTGTAGCCATAGCTAAAAGGGGCCACGGTACAGCTCACTTCAGAGGGTACAAGACCCAAGCCTTGGCAGCTCCCAAGTGGTGTTGAGCCTGCGGGTGCACAGAAGTCAAGAATTGAGGTTTGGGAACCTCTGCCTAGACATCAGAGTATGTATGGAAACACCTGGATGTCCAGGCAGAAGTTTGCTGCAGGGGCAGGGCCCTCAGGATGAACTTCTGCTAAGGCAGTGTGGAAGGGAAATGTGGGATCAGAGCCCCCACACTGAGTCCCCACTGTGGCACTGCCTAGTGAAGCTGAGAGAAGAAAGCCACAGTCCTCCAGTTCCCAGAATGGTAGATACACCAACAGCTTGCACCATGCTCCTGGAAAAGCCACAGACAGTCAACACCAGCTTGTGAAAGCAGCCAGGAGGGAGTCTGTACTCTGCAAAGCCACAGGGATGGAACTGCCCGATACCATAGGAACCAATCTCTTGCATCATCATGATTTGGATGTGAGACATGGAGTCAAAGAAGATCATTTTGGAGCTTTAATATTTGACTGCCCTGCTGGATTTCTGACTCATATGGGGCCTATAGCTCCTTCGTTTTAGCTAATTTCTCCCATTTGAAATGGCTGTATTTACCCTATACTTGGACCCCATTGTATCTAGGAAATTACTAGCTTGCTTCTGATTCTACAGGCTCATAGGCAGAAGAGACTTGCCTTGTCTCAGATGAGATGTTGGACTGTGGACTTTTGAGTTAATGCTGAAACGAATTAAGACTTTGGGGGACTGTTGGGAAGGCATGATTGTTTTGAAATGTGAGGACATGAGATTTGGGAGGGGCCAGGTGTGGAATTATATGGTTTGGCTGTGTTCCCACACACATCTCTTAAATTCTCACATGTTATGGGAGGGAACTGGTGGAGGGTAATTGAATCATGGAAGCTGATCTTTCTCGTGCTGTTCTCGTGATAGTTGATAAGTCTCATGAGATCTGATGGTTTTAAAAAGAGGCGCCCCCCCCCCCCAACAAGCTCTCTTTCTTTGCTTGCTACCATCCATATAAGACGACACTCATTCCTCCTTAACTTTCACCATGACTGTGAGGCCTCCCCAACCATGTGGAACTGTAAGTTCATTAAACCTCTTTCTTTTGTAAATTGCCCAGTCTCAGATATGTCTTTATCAGCAACATGAAAATGGACTAATACAGTTCATATTTTTGGTATTGTATGTAAACACTCATTGCCAAACCCAAGTTTATGAAGATTAGCTCCCATCTTCTACAAGTTTTATAGTTTTAGTTATTGTTTGTAAAAGATATTATGTGTTGAAGATTTTGTTGTTATTGTTGTTTTGCATATGACTTTTCTAATGTTCCAGCCTCATTAGTTGAGAGGACTACCCTTTCTCTATTTGGTTTCCTTTGCATCTTTGTTAAAACCAGTTGACTAATATAGTGGTCTATAATTGTGTGGGCCAACTTCTGTACTCTCAATCAGGTTTAATTGATATATATCTTTGTTTTCACCAATACAATACTGAATTGTTACTGTTGCTTTATAGTAAGTCTTGAATCAGATAGTATGCAGATAGTATGCCTTCTAAATTAATCCTCCTTTTTCAATATTTGTTTAGCTCTTCTAATTCCTTTGATTTTCCACGTAAGTTTCAGAATTAGCTTATTGATAGCTTTTAAAAAGTTTTCTGGAGTTTTGATTGGAATTGCATTAAATCTAGATCAAATTGGGAATAATTGGTGTCTTAATGACATCGAGTCTTCTAATCCTGGAACACATGGTATATTTCTTCATGTATTTAGATATTCTTCTATTTCTTTCACCAGGGTTTTGTAGTATTTAGCATTGAAAATCTGCACATTTTTGTTTGATTTATACCTAATAAACATTTTATTTTTGAGCAATTTTAAGTTATATTTTTAAATTTCAAATTGCAGCTGTTCACTGTTGGTAGAAATATAATTGTCTTTTGAATATTTATCATGTATCTTGCAAACTTGCCAATCAGATCTATTTCTGTGAATGTTCCATGTGCTCTACAACAATGTGTATTCTGTTGTTGAATGGAGTGTTCTATAAATGCCAATTAGGTAAATTTTGTTGATAATGTTGTTTGGGTATTCTATGTCCTTCCTGATTTCGCCCCAACTTGTTTCATCAATTCCTGATATATGACTGTTGAAGTCTCCAGCTATAATTCTGTATTTTTTTATTTCTCCTTTTTCATCTGTCAGCTCCTGCTTTATGTATTTTGAAATTTTGTTTTTAGGTGCATAGTTATTTAAGATTTTTTTTTTGGGGAGTCTTGAAGCCTTATTATTATTTAATGTTCCTCTTTATCACTCAATATTATTTGTCCTAAAGTCAACTTTGTATAAAATTAATATAGTTACTTCAACTTTTTTTTTGGTTAGTGTTTCCATGAAAGGTTTTTAAAAAATTCTTTAATATTTTAATTTTTAACTTGTTTTTGTTTTATAATTAAAATTGATTTTTTATAGAGAGCATACAAATGTACCTGGATTTTTATATAGTGTGACAATCTGCCTTTTAATTTATATGTTTAAACCAGGAATTGTCACATAATGTTTATGGGCCAAATTCAGCCCAGTGCTCTTTTTTTGACATGGCACACAAGCTAAGCATAGGTGTTGTATTTATAAGAACTAAGGACTGGCATAGTGGCTTACACCTGTAATCCCAGCACTTTGGGAGGCTGAGACAGGAAGATCACTTCAGGTCAGGAGTTTGAGACCAGCCTGACCTGCCTATCTCTATTAAAAATTTAAAAAATAAATTTAAACATGTGTGGTGGTAGGCACCTGTAATCCTAGCCACTCAGGAGGTTGAGGCAGAAGAACTGCCTGAACTCAGGAGGCAGAGGTTGCAGTGAGCAGAGATCGCACCACTGCATTCCACTCTGAGCGACAGAGCAAGACTCTGTCTCAAAAAAAAAAATGAATTATAAAACCTCAGGAATTAAATAATATTTTGTGATGTATAAAAATTACATAACATTTAAATTTTAGGAAATTTAAATTTTAAATTATATGAAATTTAAATAAAGTTCTTTGCAGCACAGCCAAGGTCTTTCATTTATATTTTGTCCTCAGCTGTTTCTCACTACAGGTTCACCACTGTTGAGTAGTTGTGACAGAAATTATGGTCAGTAAAGTCTAAAATATTTACCTTCTGTTTCTTTACCAAAAAAATGTTTGCCAATTCCTGGTTTATAGAATTAAAATTCAAAGTATATTGAATTAGAATCTCTTGTTTTGCTATCTGTTCCATTTGCTGTTTTTTTCTTCTGCTTTCTCTCAGTCTGTCTGAGCATGTGATTCCATTTTCTCTTTTGTATTCATTTATTATTTATTCCTCTTGTAAAAGTGTTTTAGTGGTTGCATTATGGTTTGCAATATGCATCTTAGAATAATCTGACTACTTTCAAGTTCTATTATATTATTCCACATACAGTAGTAGAACCTTATAATAACGTTTCCAATTCTTCCCTCTCATCCTTTGTGCTATCGTGATCATGTATTTTACTCTTACATATATAGAAACTCACCATATATTGATGTTTTTTCTTTATTATATTTTTGAGAAATTAAAAACAAGAAAATAGAAATTTATTTTACCATTTATTCCATCTCCTGTGCTATTCAGTTATTTGTGTATATCCAAGTTTCTGAGAGTGTGCTATAACTCTTACACTTGTTTCTCCTTAATAGTATGTCTTTTTTCCTCTGTCCATCTTCAAGCTTTATCTTTATCTTTTTTAAAGATTTTTAATATGATACTATATCCTTATTGGTGTTCTCTAAATTTCTTGCATATACTATTTGATGTCTGTCATTAATTTTAAAATCCTTAGTCATTGCTTTAAATATATTTCTGCCTCTTTTTTTCTCTTCTCTCTAGAATTCTGATTACATGTATATTGGACAATTTGACGTTCTCCACAAGTCTTGGATGCTCTATTCTGTTTGTTTTGTTCATTTGTTAACTATTTGTACTTCTAATTTGTTAGTTTCTATTGTACTACCTTCAGGTTCACTGAATTGTCAGCTGTGTCAAGTCTGTTGATGAGCACATCAAAGACATGCTTCATTTCTGTTACTATTTTTTACTTCTAGCATTTCATTTTATTCTTCATTACACTTTCTATCTCTAGTGATGAAATTACCATCTTGTCTTGTATGTTGCACATTGTTTTCAGTACATCAGGGTTAATCAACCTTGACAATGTGAACATTTGGGGTCACATAATTTTTTTATTATGGGGGATTATATTACAGAATTTTTAGCAGCATCGCTGGTCACATTTATTAGATGCTGATAAGAATCAATCCCTACAGTTGTGACAACCAAATACAGACAGCCAAATATCTACTAAGCAACAAAATTTTCTCCAGTTAAGAACCACTGCATTAGAGCTTTTAGCATACTACTAAATAAGTTTCTGCTCGGGTCATTAACACATTCTATGTCAGATCTGAATGTGGTTCTGATGAGCACTTTCTTCCTTCAGAGTGTTTTTTTTCTGGCCTGCTGTACGCTGCATAATTTTTGTTGACATTATACATATGTCCAGGACAGTTAATATTGTAGTAAATATATTTATGCTTAGAGATAAGCATACCTTTTCTTCTGGCGAGTCTTTAGTGAGGGGTTTTCTTAGTCTAGTTAGTAGAAAGCCTGTATTTGAAGTTTGCTGCTATAGTTATGCACGTGCACTATAGGTTTCAAATTCCTCTACCACGTGCCTTGTGCTTAGGGTGTGGGTAGTTTGCCAGAGGGTGTTTCTCAAATCTGCTCCCTGCTTGGCTTTGGGTCTCCCTTTTGCATTGCTCCCTAGAAAGGATCTGTCCTACATTCATTCCACCATTTGTTTTTTAAATCTATTCTTGTTAGCCTGGAGAAGGAGGATCTGGGAAGGGGGGCATCCTCTGACGTTCTGATTAAACCTCATTCTTAAGCAGGCTCTAGGCTGAATTTATGTGTTGTGGCTTTCACAGTTGTTTCTGCTCTTCCTTCAGCCATAATACTGGGTCTAGCGTGTATGCCTTCCCCTCCCCAGAGGTACAGCTAACCCCTAGCTGCAAAGGATTTCCACCAATAATCTAAGGCAATAGTTTTTGTTGCTGTCTCTGTGCATATTAAGACTTTTGTTGCACAGCAGAAATAGATTCGGATAGTGTTTTGACAATGACTACTGTTCGCCTTTCCCAGCCAGAACCAGATGAAATATTTCTCAATATTCTCAATAATCTTCCCTATGGGCATTTTCTGGCTTTCATTGAGAAAAGGCCTGTAAGAGAATACAAAACCCCTTGGTCTAGGACCTCCCTAAGGCTTCAAACTCTCCTAGCCTGTATTAGTCCATTTTCACACTGCTGATAAAGACATACCTGAGATTGGGAAGAAGAAGAGGTTTAATTAAATGTACAATTTTGCATGGCTGGGAAAGCCTCAGAATCATGACAGGGCTGAAAGGCACTTATTACATGGTGGTGGCAAGAGAAAATTAGGAAGATGAAAAAGCAGAAACCCCTGATAAAACTGTCAGATCTCATGAGATTTATTCACTACCATGAGAACAGTAAGAGAAAAACTGCCTCCATGATTCAAATTATCTCCCACCAGGTCCCTCCCACAACACATGGGAATTATGGGAGTACAATTCAAGATGAGATTTGAGTGGGGACATGGAGCCAAACCATATCATTCTGCCCCTGGCCCCTCCAAATCTTATGTCCTCACATTTAAAAAACAACCATGCCTTCCCAACAGTCCCCAAAAGTCTTAACTCATTTCAACATTAACCCAAAAGTCCATAGTCCAAAGTCTCATCTGAGACAAGGCAAGTCCCTTCCACCTATGCCTGTAAAATCAAAAGCAAGTTAGTTACTTCCTAGATACAATAGGGGTACAAGTATTGGGTAAATACAGCTATTCAAAATAGGATAAATTGTCCAAACAAAGGGGTTACAGAGCCCATGCAAGTCCAAAATCCAATGAGGCAATCAAATTTTAAAGCTTCAAAATGATCTCCTTTGATTCCAGGTCTCACATCCAGGTCACATTGATGCAAGAGTGGGTTCTCATGGTCTAGGGCAGCTCTGCCCCTGTGGCTTTGCAGGGTACAGCCTCCCTCCCAGCTGTTTTCATGAGCTGGCATTGAGTGTCTGCGGCTTTTCCAGGTGAATGGTGAAAGCTGTCAGTGGATCTAGTATTCTGGGTTCTAGAGGATGATGGCCCTCTTCTCACAGCTCCACTAGGCAGTACCCTGGTAGGGACTCTGTGTGGGGGCTCTGACCCCACATTTCCCTTCTGCACTGCCTTAGCAGAGGTTCTCCATGAGTGCCCCACCCCTGCAGAAAACTTCCACCTGGGCATCCAGGCATTTCCACACATCTTTTGAAATCTAGGCAGAGGTTCCCAAACCCCAATTCTTGACTTCTGTGCACCTGCAGGCTCAACACCACGTGAAAGCTGCCAAGGCTTCGGGCTTGCACCTTCTGAAGCCACAACCCGAGCTCTATGTTGGCCCCTTTCAGCCACTGCTGGAGCAGCTAGGATGTAGGGCACCAGGTCCCTAGGCTGCACACAGCACGGGGACCCTGGTCCTGGCCCACAAAACCATTTTTCTCTCCTGGGCCTCCAAGCCTGTAATGAGAAGGGCTGCCACTAAGACCTCTGACTTGCCCTGGAGACATTTTCCCATTGTCTTGGGAATTAACATTCAGCGCCTCATTATTTATGCATTTTATTTGCAGCAAGCTTGAATTGCTCCTCAGAAAATGAATTTTTCTTTTCTATCACATTGTCAGGCTGCAAATTTGCTGAACCTGTATGCTCTGCTTCCCTTATAAAACTGAATGCCTTTAACAGCACCCAAGTCACCTCTTAAATGTTTTTCTGCTTAGAAATGTCTTCCACCAGATACCCTAAATCATCTCTCTCAAGTTCAAAGTTCCACAAATCTCTAGGGCAGGGGCAAAATGCCACCAGTCTCTTTGTAAATAACAAGAGTCAT
This sequence comes from Homo sapiens, assembly GCF_000001405.40. Classification (NCBI taxonomy): domain Eukaryota; kingdom Metazoa; phylum Chordata; class Mammalia; order Primates; family Hominidae; genus Homo; species Homo sapiens. The sequence goes on from NC_000006.12 coordinate 96,342,657, forward strand.
CTTTGCTCCAGTTCCCAACAAGTTCCTCATCTCCATCTGAGACCACCTCAGCCTTGACCTTATTGTCCATATTGCTATCAGGCTTTTGGTCAAAGCCATTCAACAAGTCTCTAGGAAGTTCCAAACTTTCCCACATTTTTCTGTCTTTTTTTTAGCCCTCCAAATTGTTCCAACCTCTGCCTATTACCCAGTTCCAAAGTTGCTTCCAAATTTTTGGGTATCTTTTCAGCAATGCCCCACTCTACTGGTACCAATATACTGTATTAGTCCATTTTCACACTGCCTATAAAGACATATCTGAGAATGGGAAGAAAAAGAGGTTTAATTGGACTTATGGTTCCACATGGCTGGGGAGGCCTCCGAATCATGGCGAGAGGTGAAAGGCACTTATTACATGGTGGCGGCAAGAGAAAATGAGGAAGATGCAAAAGTGGAAATCCCTGATAAAACCATCAGATCTCATGAGACTTATTACTACCATGAGAACAATATGGGGAAAACCATCCCCATGATTCAAATTATTTCCCTCCAGATCCCTCTCACAACACATAGGAATTATGGGAATATGATTTAAGATGAGATTTGGGTTGGGGACACAGAGCCAAACCATATCATAACCCATGCTTGGTCTTTAGCAATTTCTTTAAAAAAAAATAGCTACATGTTCTTACTGGCTTATATTGTGTCTAGGCTCAAGTATGCAAATTCCTGGGTCCTGTCTTTCCCCACTTTTACATTAGTTCTTTTCTCTGCAACTGCAGTTTATAAGATCAATAAAATTCCTTAATTTGCAGTTTGTACAGCTTTTTTCTTGTAGTAAGAAGGGTGGGAACAATGTCCATTCCAGCTCTCTACATCTTTGAGCTCTCAGCTGATATTTGAAAAGATCCTTTAAATATACTCGAGAATATTGCTAAGATTAGACTGTCTTTACTCAGCCCAAAGAGTATCATGACTTGCAGTGATGCCATAGATATGGAAATAGGTGAGTTCTTATGTTACCAATGTATAGATTGGAAATAACTATAATATCAGTGCATAGGGTGATTTTTAAAAATCATTCAAAATCTAATTATAAATACGACAACAGATGTTTTGCAAATGTTAATGTTTCAGCTATTCAAATGCTAAAACATACTTTATCTAAATAAAAGTCAACAACACAAGGAATGAATTTCATTAGACTTATATCAACAGTTCTATAAGAAAGAAGAACTACAGCATGGCATTTACAAGTCATGTCACTATACAAATTGACAAGAAGAAAAATTCAGAATGTGGGCATGACACTCAGGAAAAAAATGTCTAAGAAACTCCAGCGTCATTTAAGGAGAGTTCAAAAAGTAACCTCCAAACTACCCTTCAAGGCACAGGCAGAGAAGAATCTCACTCTAATTGTCACTGTCACAGAAAGTCTGGATGCACTTATGTTTATGAGGTGATCCCAATAGTAGTTTATATCTCAGCTTTGTATAAGCCAATGAATAATAGTATAAAAATGTTTACAGATAGAATATGCTACACAGGCTTAACAGAAAAATAGTGGTTATATATAAACATAAAAGCCTCCAAAGGAGCAGGGATATTGTTAATTTGTACTCCGAGCATTTTTATGGATGCAGATTTATAAGTTTGGGCCAGGAACTAAATATAAATGTTACCCTACATAACAGTGATAGAGGAGTGAGGAAAAACAAGATGAAGGTCAAAAGGAGAGCAAGGAAGCTGGTGGTAGGCCAGTGTGCTATCAGGGTAGGAACAGCCACCATGGTCTCCAGGTGGGACATAAACCATGTGATTTTAAGTTATTGTGAAGTCAACAGGAGGATCCTTTAGTAAATAAAGCTTGAGTAAAAAACTGCTTCATGTTATTTCCTTTTACCCATAGTGCTCTGGAGTGCTACAATCCCAAAGCAGAAGCTGTTTTTACACTTAGCTCAACCCCAGGGAAAGGATAAAGGACTTTTTCTAGAAGCAGGAATCAGTCAAAAGGCGCTTGAGAATGAAAGACCCTTTACCTCTTCCCACCCTCATGCTCTCCCATAGAACTCAGCGAAGTCTTGAAAGAGCTATTAGATATTCACACTTCCTGAAATGAGGCAACCTCCACACCTCCTGTGTTTGCCATCAGCAGTCTACTTATGTGTCTGCTTATTTTTTAACTTATTTTTTTAGTTATAACTGACACGTAATAATTGCATGTATTTATGAGGTACAATGTGATATTTCAATACATGTATACATAGCATAATGATCAAATTAAGGTAATTACCATATTCATCACTTTCCAACATTTATTATTTCTTTGTGGTGTCAACATTAAAAATCTTTTCTTTTGGCCATTTTGAAATATGCACTACATTGTTATTTGCTATAGTCACCCTACTGTGTCATATAACACCAAACCTTTTTCTTCCTGATTGTAACTTTGTACCCACTAACTTCTCCTGCTCCTCTACCACCACCTTCCCCAGCCTCTAGTAACAACTCTGCTATTTCTATAAAATCAACTTTTTAAGATTCTACATATGAGTGAGAACATGTGGTATTTTTCTTTTCATGCCTGGTTTATTCCACTTAATGCCCTCAGGTTTCCCATGTTGCCACAAATGACAGGATTTCATTCTGCTTTGTGGCTGAATTTTATTCCACTGTGTATATATATATATACACACCACATTTTCTTTCTTCATTCATCTGCTGATAGGCATTAGGTTGATTCCATATCTTGTCTTGTGAAGACTGCTGCAATAAACATGCACGTGTCTCTTTGACATACTGATTTCATTTCTTTGGGGTATATATCCAGTAATGGGATTGATGGATTATATTGTAGTTCTATTTTTAATTTTTTGAGAAACCGCCATACTTTTTTCCATAAAGGCTGTACTAATTTACATTCCCACCAACAGTATGTCAGAGTTCCCTTTTCTTTGCATACTTACAAGCATTTTTGTGTGTCTTTTTTATAATAGCCATTCAAACGAGAGAAAGGTGATATCTCATTGCGGTTTTGATTTGCATTTCTCTGATGATTAGTGATGTTAAGCACTTTTTTACATATCTATTGGCCATTTGTATGCTTCTTTTAAGAAAGGTCATTCAGGTCTTTTGCTCATTTTTAATTGAATTATCTGTTTTCTTGCTATCAAGTTGTTTGAGTTCCTTACATATTCTGGGTATTAACCCTTTGTCAGATGCTTAATTTGCAAACACTTTCTATTATTCTATAGGTTTTCTCTTCATTTTAATGATTGTTTCCTTTACTGTGCAGAAGACTTTGGTTTGATGTATTTCCATTTGTCCAGTTTGCTTTGGTTGCCTGTGCTTTTGAGATATTATTTTTAAAATCCTGGCCCAGTCTTCTTTGTAACACTAGAGTCTCATCACCCATTTGTTCATAGAGTGTATCACTCATTTGAGAAGTTAGGAGATTGTATCTGGTGTTTGTGTTTATAATAGTGCAAGTGAAGAAAAGATCTTGCTTATTCATCTATCCATGCACCTCTAAACACAGGAACCACAGCCCCCAGAGGAAACATGGTGTTGCAGGCAGGACGTATGGAACAAAATGTTTCTGGGAAAGTCATCATAGCAATCTACTCATGCTGGTTCCTGACATGGTTTATAGTACATTGTACTTGGTAAGGATCTCATTTTTTTCCTGAAGATAGCCCAGTGAGAAGTGCAGTACTATTCTCAGGGAATTTATATATTTTGATGCCAAAGCTAAAGTGCTAGTTACCAACCACAGCTGTGTCTTCTTTACCTTATCAGCACACCCAAGACTGTCTACCTACAATCACACAAAATTATCAGACATGAATATTGAAATCTTTCCAATGTTCCTATTAGTTGCATAGAAAAAAAATGAAAAAGTTCCTTGAGAAAGAAGGAACGATTTTCCTTTAGCATGAAGTGATTAGCTAATTGCCTAAAAACCTAAAAATAAGGACAATAATATTATTCAGTATTGAAAATATTTATGATTACTAACAGATAATTAATATTTTTAAGTATTAAATTTTACATTTACTCTAATTATAAACAAAAGAGAGGACTGTGTTAAATGACCTAGAAAAACATTAGAGAAAAGAACAGAATGTATTAAAAACTATATAACAGTATTTCAATATTCTCTCTCTGTGATGGATTATCTGTAATTTTCATTTCATAAATTTTTCTTTGGTATCTTCTAGTTTCCTAAGTTGTATGAATTAAAACTGTGAACTAAATAAGAAAATGCGGTTGTTCTATGTTAGGGTCTTTGTGGTAGATATTGATATTCTCCTGTAATTAGAAGGTTTTTTCCCCCTACACAGCTGAAGTATTCTATAATTTTAAAACACAAAATGTTATTTTTAAAATAGCCAAGAAGCTATTAAATATACAGAAGCATATACTATCTTTGGTAAACCAAAAGGTCATGAGCTTGGAAGCAAGAGTTTATGCATTTTAAAAAATATCTTTTAAATAGGTCAACATTATTACTTTATAAAGGGGTCAAATGTGTTCATCTTACAAATGAGAACACTTTCACCAAATAGACAAAATGCCTTTCCCCAAATCACGAAGAGAGTAAGGTCTCTTCCTCAGTCCAGTATGACTGTAGGCTTATCACAGAAATATTAATTATTTAGTACAAAATGATTTGTAGTCTTGCATAAAGGTAGCTAATCTACTACAGGCCATTCTCCATTTGCTCATTTTAACAGGTGTCAGATTTAGAGGACAAAAACTAAACTTATAGTTGAAATCCTGACTTATCCCACACAATTAAATTTCTTTCATCATCCACAGGCAAATGAGAAAAAAAAGAAAAATAAAAAAAATCATTCTGTTTTGGTCAAACAAGAAGGTGGGTTGAAGAGAAATAATTTCTATTTTTACAGCTGGCTCTGAATTCCCAAAAAGAAGGTATTTCTCTTGGCTTAGAAAATACCTTGATAGAAATCTGAGGCCTTAGGAACATGTTCTATATGGAAACACCAAAGTGAAAAAATAGTAATATTGCTCTACATAGCCATTTAACAGAAATTTGAGGAAAGAGCTTGTGTATAAGAAATGTCAACTTAAAACAATAAGATCTATAACAGCAGAAAAGGAGAGCTTTGTTTCTTGTAAAAAAGTATAACCTGTAAGTTGGGAAGCAGAACCTCTGGCAGAAATCAAAAGCAGGTGCTTCAGAGACAAAAGGGAGAGATATTGAGATTTATTCTTAAGATTGGTTATGCATACATATACAGTAGAATATAGAAGAATCTTATGAAATTTATGAGGGAACCCTAATGCATGCATAGTGAGTAAACATATATGTTACATACATCCCATGATCACTTGATCACTTTGGGGTGGAGATTTAATATTAAAATAAGGTAAAACTTGGCTCTTTACATCAGAAGGTGAAACACAGGATACAAAAGCATCTTGTGCACAGCCTCTGTGGACCCAGAACCACTTTGAAGCCGATGGTCAGTTATCAGGATGGAATGCTTTTTAAGGCTGGTCAGTTGTCACAGTGAAACCACATTAAGTCAGGAGAGGTTGGTGACTACAACAGGTGATCTATTAAGGTCAAGGGAGAAATCTTCCAGACCTCGATTTTCAGGAACTGATTTCTGTTTAATGTAGGAAAGTCTTGAGGGGGTTAATAAGGTAGGGGAGTATTGAAGCATGACCGATTTCTTGCCTTGACAAGCTCTAGAATCTAGTTTTTAACATTTTTCTGGGGTTTCTTTTGCCACAAGGAGTCAGATTAAATTCACTGGGAGTCCTAGCAGATTTATTTTTATTTCATAGGAAGAAATGAGTCCAAATAACATAGTAAGATGTTGAACAATAAGAATAAAAGTGAAAAATGTTAACGATGGAGTGTCTAAAATCCTCTCGGAACAATAACACTTACTTCTAATTTCTCTTATGTGCTAACAATACCCTCATTATTGAGTCAGGGAAAAAAATATTAAAGTTAGAAAAAGTAACACCAAAATTTGTTACACACCTAAACACCCAGGACGTATGGTATCATTAGAAAGGGAGTTACATGGCTTCTATTTCATGCCTGAAGCAGGGAAAGGAGAACAACCCTAGGAGGAGAGAACTGATAAGATAGAGAATTCAATGGAAGCAAAATCTTGGTACAGGAATTGGATAAATTACAGAATTCTAAAATGCAAGTCCACCTCCTACAAGCATCCCTGATACATTAAGGAAAATATTAGTCTCAACTTTTTTGTGATCAAAATTTAATCCAGTTGATATTTATTCTCAAAAGGTGTCATGACCATAGTTGACATCTCAGTTATACTAGCACAAATCATGAGTGTAAAAATAAAAACATAAACTCAACACAAGGGAATGCTTGCCTCTCAATTTCATTATAACATCTGTATTATATTTCACTCTTTTCAAAGTCAGAGATGACACCCATCTCTAGGAAGGCTCACATTAGTTTAATTTGTTTGTTTATTTTGTGATATGCAGTAAAGCAAAACCATTTAGGAAAATTATTTCAATCACACCAAATACCATGTGGAAAATACACTTTAGGATATTTAAAGAGTTAAATGTAAAATATTAAAATAGAGAAAACTAACAAGATAATGGCACTGATGTGCAGAAGAATTTTTTAAAATTATATCCTTTGTGCATAAACAAGTTGACCACAATAGGAAAACATATATGACTTTGGTTATTATAAAAAAAAAAATAAGCCATCTCTACTAAAAATACAAAATAAATTAGCCGGGCATGGTTGGGTGCCTGTAGTCCCAGCTACTTGGGAGGCTGAAGCAAGAGAATGGTGTGAACCCGGGAGGTAGAGCTTGCAGTGAGCCGAGATCACGCCACTGCACTCCAGCCTGGGTGACAGAGCAAGACTCTGTCTCAAATAAATAAACAAATAAATGAAATTTGACAACTATAGCAGGTAAAGACTAACCCCAACATTGTATAGATTATATCAATTATACAACAAGCATCAGGATTCACACAGTTAGGTGGACAAAGGATTTACAGAGATTATTCAAAAGAAGCAGCAATCCAACTATTGAGTAACCATCTGAGAAATATATAACTACGTTATTGACCTAAATAATAAAAGTTAAAAAGTCACACATTTATTATATGATAAGTTTGTAACAGCAACTTCTTTGGTGATATTTTATACTGACCAGCATGTCATTTAATAACCAGAATGTGATTAAACTTGGCTATACTTGTGACGTACAGTGTGAAAATGTGTACATTAGCATTTTTGTGAAAAGCAAAATGAAAATGTTTAACCAAGAATTCTAACTAAGTGTATACCTTTGACCTAGTAATCCTAAGGAAATCATAATTAAAAATAAAAATAAAATCTATCCTAAACATCAAAAAATAAGATAAGTAAATTATGAGGTGAATCAATTCACTGCTACAAAAAATTTTAAATACCAAAAATAATGAAAATTTAGTGTATCTTTTTAAATCTAAGCTCAGAATATATACATGTATATGCTCAGAATACATACCTATGTTCGTGTGTGTGTGTGGTAAAAGTTAAAAGAAGTTTTTGAATCAGAGCGAGGAATAGAGAGTGAATTTGTCTTGCAATTTCTTTATTGTTGTTGTAACATTCATGTGAGAAATACAGGGTCTTTTGGGGGGAAGAGGGTCATATTGGCTATGGCTCACACATAACTTTTGCTTCCTTAAGTTATGTCTTTTTTTTTGAGACAGAGTTTCACTCTTGTTGCCCAGGTTGGAGTGCAATGGCGCCATCTCGGCTCATTGCAACCTCCACTTCCCAGGTGCAAGTGATTCTCCTGCCTCAGCCTGCCAAGTAGCTGGGATTACAGGCATGCACCACCACACCTGGCTAATTTTGTATTTTTAGTAGAGACGGTGTTTCATTATGTTGGTCAGGCTGGTCTCGAACTCCTGACCTCAGGTGATCCACCTACCTCGGCCTCCCAAAGTGCTGGGATTACAGGCATTAGCCACCTAGCCTGGCCCAGTTATATCATTTTTATCTGTTGACATAAACCATTTCTTAATTAAATTAAAAGAAATATTAAAGCTATATTATCTGCTCCAAATTTTCATTGTCTTTATAAAGTATTTACAAAACAACTTTAATTAATAACAATTTATTGGAAGTATGTTATCTCCCAGCATTAGTGAGATATACTGTCCTGATTAGGCATCAACAAGGCTGAAAAAAAGTGAAATGATAATTGTAATATGAATTTAGACAGGTCCTGATGTTACCAGTGACTGCTAACATATTTTCTAATGTTTTACGTACTTCTTTATTGAGGTTCTAGTACCTGCATGTAATAATATATGAGTTTTAGGTGTTCCACATTCTTTTTCCACATTTAGTATCATTTGAATGTTTTTATTTTAGGCACTCTGGTGGGTTCATAGAGGTATCACACTGTTGTACCAGGCACTATTTTAAGTGCTTTATGTGTAGTATTTATTTAATCCTCAATAAACCTATGTGGAAACAGGCATTTTCCAGAATTAGAATATGAGTTGTCAAACTGTGGAGGCTGAGCTCTTAACCTTTGTGATAGTAGTACCTCTACAAGTACCACATCAGTTCTTTTCTTCATTCTCTGGCACATCATTATACAGGTATGGTTGTTGTAGTGAAGGAAATTAAAATCAATCATTCTTTTTCCATTAGCTCTGAATATTAATCAAATTGATGTTGCATTTTCTCCCTTTAACCTATGACATTCATAAAGCTGTCTTTGAAGCACTAAGAAATTGGCATCCATGCCAATTAGACCATTGTAGACCTAATGTTTCTATAATGAAACTTCACTTTTCAAACAAAATAGTGCCTGTCTCTAGATTTTCAACACTACAAAATGTCAGCATTTCTTCATTATAGAGAACAAATACTACTCTTCATTAAAATCATGTTGATTTTATTGATTTCTTTGTTTGCTGTGTTATTCTTAGTGTTGTTTAGCACTTTGTGAAAACAATATGTGGAATGAGCTACATGAACAGTATTATTCATCAACTCCTTTCAAGCAGCTCTTGAAGATATCCATTCAAGCTGAAGTACAAGGTTATAGTTTTTATTGCTCAAGTCAGGAAAAGAGTCAGTACTGTGCAATAAAGATAAACTTTCCACAAGTGTTTATGGTTTACAATAGAAAATTCTATTAATATAGGTACATTCCAAATAATGTGCAGTTAAAACACTGCACTGTTACTGATACATGAATTTTAAGCCTAATATGAAATATGTTTTCCCTAAATTAATTTCTTTCTTGAGGTTTCCTACTTCCATACCTCTTCTTCTCCTTACTTTTGCCAAAATATCTTTAGGTAACTCTGCATTCTTGAATGCCATCTCCTTCTAACACCTCTCCCTAACCCTGCCAACCAAAATTCAGGATAAAAATTACAAAATAAATAGTTACATTTGGCTCTGTCTTCAGATTATAAATTGTATGTCAAATTATTTTTTCACCCCCGGGAACTTGAATTATAACATGTTGGTGAGGCTCCAACTACTATCAGGCAAGTGGACTCCTTTACATGACGGAAAGAAGCAGCAAGTCACTAACAATTAGTAGAAGATATCCAAAGGTTAAAAGAAAAATGGGTGTAATACAATCAACTCATCATACATTTGGGGAATTTCAAGCTAAAGAAAAATGGGTGTAATACAATCAACTCATCATACATTTGGGGAATTTCAAGCTAAAGAAAAATGGGTGCGATACAATCAACTCATCATACATTTGGGGAATTTCGAGCTTTTGGTTTTATTTAATGAATAAAGAAGAATGTTCAAGACAACTCGCATTGATAAAATTTCCTAACTTTTTCACATGTACATACATGAAGAATTGGGAAAATTTTTAACACTAATCTTTTCTATTATATTATTCCACTTTTGTTAAAAATTAAACCGTCAAAACTAAACTTGTATACAATGTTTGTGTGCAATTCTTTCATAAATAACTCTTCAATCAATCTGATTGCTATCAAGTAGAAATAATTCTAATGTGAATATGTAAAAAAGATCAGAGTCGTAGATCTGTCATTATGTCTTAAATTTACCACATGCTAATCAAATTATACATTTAATTACCAACACTTTACCTTAATTTATTGATATGCATAAGTATGATGTTCTCTTTTATGTGCAAGAAATTATATTATGCTTTCTAAAACTTTCAAGAAAGTTTGTAAGTTTTAATTATCTTCTCTATACTATCAGATTCACAAAATATCATTACTTTCTCAGTAATAATGATGTAATATTAAATATGGTATGAGCAACGAAGTTTTGATCATTCTTAATAAAACAGAAGTGTTTAGACAATTAAAATCTATAGAGTGAAATCTTTCCTCATGTAAACCACAGGGATAAAACAGACTTTTCAACACACTACTTTAGAACAGCCAACTTGACCTTGATCCATCTCCCCATCACTTAAGACTATTTTCAAATGTGTCACTAAGCTATCATTGATCTATGTCCTTAATATAATTAAAGAGGAATTTGAGGTCCACGTTATTTTCTTTAAACTTTGAACTCTAAAACAATCAGAAAATGTAGAACTTTTACGGAAGTTTTCATTTAACAGCAGACTTTTTTCAGGAGAAAAGGAAACTTTTTAGACCAAATTAGGTAAATGTTTTCAAGTGAGATGTAAAATAAAAAAAAAATGATTTCCCACCAGAGCCTAAATCATAAATCATTTTCAAAGAAATCAATGTACATTCCCTTCTGTGTCTGGGATTTCATTCCCTTATATAATATATCTTCCTAAAACAAATGAAACTATCATATACCCTTGCTAATAGAAAAGTAATGGTAGGTAATACCTCAGATACCTCATTTGTAATACTTTTATACTTCTTGCTTTATATCTCCATAAAACTTCATTTTTATATTTCACTAGGTAATTTCTAAGGAAAGAAAATCTGTTCTAAATCATTAGCTTTGTGTATTGGAAAACATATATTCATTATATATCATAGCAGGTTTTAAAAGTCAATTAGAATCAATCGATAAGAGTATTGTGTAAGATTTTTGAATGCCTGAACTAGTCTTTAATAATAATTTTTTAAAGCATTCACATAGATCTAGTTGACATTTATAACTTCTTTCAGAATTGGATTTGTTCTGGAAAGGAAAACAACAACAGGATAGAATTAGATGACTATTGTATTTTCATTTCTAGCTTTCAAATAACTGTGTTATTTATATTTAGAGGTAAGATTAGTGCTATATTTTGTGAGGGTATGTAGACATTGACATCAAAAGACCTAGAGTCTAAGAGAGAATTACTCTGACGCAAGATAACAGTTACAAGCACCCATAAATTGGGAGGACATGAAGAGCTATGGAAGTGCAGAAGAAAAGAGGTTCCTTCCTGCTTCGGAGTAGCAGGATCAGGGAAGAATGCCCAAAGGAAGTGGCTTTTGAACTGGACCTTGAAGGATGAGTAAGAGAACTGGGAGTCAAAGAGGATAATGCTTCACAGTACACTTAATAACTTCTAGTAACATCTTATAAACCAGAGTACTGAGAAATACCATCTTGGGAAATGTCACTGTACAAAACTAGTAGCTGAGGCCACTATAAAGCAAGAAGGGCATTATCTGAACAGTGTTCAGTGAGAGAGAAAAAGATGTGAAGGGGAGGGGAGGAGACTTGCTGCAGAGACAGACTCAGACAGACTTGGTAACTGTCTTATAAACAAGAGCAAGTAGATACAAGTTTCATAAAGCTCAGAGCAGTATTCATGCTCTGCTATGACTTCCAACAGTCATTGCAAGAAAGAAGGGCATCCACAAGTATAAATAGTATCCCCACTTCCACAACTATTATAATAAAGCACAGTTCCCATCTGTGAAGATAACAGAGGGAACCACAGCTTATTTAATTGTACAATATTAAATACCACCTAACTGGTTTTCATTTCTCAGTCTTCTTTGCTGGTTTATCCTGTACTCCATCACTTCTTAATGTTGGAGGTCCCACGGTTCAGTCCGTGGTGGGCTGCTTCTTCTCTCTCTATGCTCACTCTTGGGGATCTCTTCCATGCTCAGGGCATTCAATGCCATCCTTATACAGATGAATCCCAAGTTACTATCCCTAGCCAAGGAATCTCACCTACACTCAGAATTACCTATTTGACACGCCTACTTCAGTGCTTAGGACACTTCTCAGATTCAGCATATTTTAAACTAGTCTCCTGATTATGCCCCTTCAACATTCCTGACTTACACTGCCGCCAGCTATCTTCCCCTTCCAGATGTTCATGCAAAAATCTTACAGGCATTCTTGACCCCATTCTTTTTCTCTCACCCTACATCCAATGCATCAACATCCTGTTAGGTCTATCCTTAAAATTGAGCCAGAATCTGACCTATATTCATTACATTACTCTTGTGTCTGGCCCAAATTACTTGTCTGGCTCCCATCTCATCTCTCTACTGCCTTACAGTATATTCTCAAGTAGAGTAGCCAGAGGGATCCTTTTAGAACGTATCTCAAATAATATGACTGCTCTGCTCAAAACCCAATGTGGCTCTCCATTTCCTATAAGGGCCCATGTCTCCATATGTTCTGACCTCATCTCCTACTACATTTCCTTCTGCGCACTCCACACTAGACACAACAGCCTCCCTGCTCTTTTTCAACTATGTCAGGTAAATTCCAGCACAAGCTGTTTCCTCTGCCTACAGTGGACTCCCCCAAGATAACTGTAGAGCAGATTCTCACCTTGGTCAAGTCTGCTCAAATGTCACATTCTCAACGAGGTCTACTGTCACCACCTTATTTAAAATTATAACCATCTTTCCTAACCCATCTAGTGCTCCCAACCTCCATTATTTTGCTCCTTTTTTTCTATTCACTTCCATAAAATTTATCAGCTTTCTATTATACAACATGATTTAATTATTTACTGGATTCTTTTTAATGTGTGTCTTTCTCTTTACTAGTAGATAAACTCCATTTGTGCAAGAATCCTTCCTTTATGCACACATGTATTCCAAACACCTACAACATTAGCTGCCAACAAAAATGATATTAATATGATGCATTGATTAATACAGTAATATTTAGCTTTTTGCAATCTAGGGAAAACTATATTTGTCTACAGTATTTTGTGCCATATTTTTCAGTTTGAGTTTCAGGGCTGTGTTTGTTTTATGAAATAATATGGGAGTATGCCCCACCTACACTGCAGACTATGAAATTTTGGATATGGCATACAAATGATCTATGCAAGAAAAGTTAAAGGGAATTTACCAATAAGGCATTTCATTCCCAGAGTACTCATCAGAGTTTTATTTTTTATGAATTTCTCAAGTTTTTCTTCTGATATTTTCTACTTTCTGTGGAATAAAAATTTGGAAATTAAAACATATATACATGTATGCATTTCATAGATACATCAACTCTTAGGAGTATATATGTATACAGATATTTTCTAAATATTCTAGCACTTAACATGAGAGCCTATAAAGTCTAACTTGGTGTTAGGAACAGGACTCTAGAGTCAGAGTGCTTATGTTTGAATCCTGGGGTTTGAATTCCAGTTACTAAACATGCAAGCTTTGGCAAATTATTTTACATTTTATGATCAGGTTCCCCAACATGAAAAGGCATAAGTAATAGTACGTATCTCTTTGGGTTGGAATGAATGATTCAACACATGTAAAGCAAATCTGGAATTGAAACAAAGGATTGAGTATTTCAACTTCCTATGGCTAAAATGAAAATAAAAATCACTGGACAAGTGATAGTACTTTTTATGACTGCCGAGATTCATGTCATTAAAACTTCTAGTTTATGCTTATGCAGCAGGTGCTGTGGAACCCTTGAACTTTTTGATCCTCTCTCTGTATGAATTTAATAATCTGTGAACAAACACTTGATAAGGTCCTACATAAGGGGATTCTGTAATTTTTTTTGTGGTGTGAGGAATTCACTGTGGATGTGAATAATTTCTCCCACTAATTTATATGTTTAATTGTAAAGTGTTTATGTTGTGTTAAGCATTCTATTTAATAATACGACAGGCACCTCTCAGATCTGCTGCATCCGTATTTCTTGGAGGACAACAGGACACCTAATTTTTAGTCTCTCTCCCAGGGAAGTTTTGTTCAATAACTCTGTACTTTGTGCCACTCGGGTTAGATCTCGTTTGTATATGTTCTCAGAGCTCTCTGCATTCATTCTGTACCACTTTTTCTTAGCACCAGAATTGCACTTTTGCAGTTATTAGTGTAATTACTAGTTTAAAGTCACAATACAGGCTCCATGTGGGCATGGATTTTGTCTGTCTTATTTATTTGTTGTATTTCCACTATCAGTTTCAAAGCCTGAGACCTAGTAGTAGACACTCACTAAATATTTATTTAATAAATGAGTGAATAGAGGGTGCTATGCAAAGCATACCAAACAATACAATATAGTACTTAAGAGCATCAATTTTAGAGGGAGAAATTTTTGATTTTGAGTCTTTCTCTGCCATTTTATACAGAAAAACTTCCTCGAGAAAGTTACGTAATGTTTCTGACACTCAGCTTCCTCATATGGAAAACAGATTTTAAAAATTTCCTATCATCACAAAATGAGTGTGAAGCAGAATCATGTATCTAAAGAGTTCTGCACATTCACCAGTAGCCAGGATAAAATAAATTGTGGCTATTATTATTAGGTTTATTATCAAACAGGCTATTATTATATCCTTATTCCTAATTGTACCTTTCATTAATATAAAATGACCTTCTTTATCCAACCTTATTTGGTTTGCATTTAAAATAGCTTTCCCTGAAAAAATTCTAAAATTCCATATCTATTTTATTATACTGATATATTTGCTTAGAATTAAGCCAACTTGGCTTAATTAATATATTTGTTATGAATTAAGCCAATAATTATTAGATTCTTCAGATGCAGATAGCAGCAGCCTAAAGTACTTAAAGGCAGAAAAGAACTACAGGTTGCTCCTCACTACCCAGTAACAGGTTGAATGTTCCAGTGAAGGTAGGGGTTGGTCTCAACCCTGCCACTTCTGACTGGATTGCAGCAAATGGTGCAAGAATAGTCATATGGTCTGTTCACATGAAGAATGATGAAGTCTCAGGCCCCATCTCTTTAAATACTCTAGGGTACCTTGTAAGAAGATCCATTTGAGACAGATGTAACAGCTTTCTAGTGGTTGAATCCAGCCAGGTTTTAATCAGAATCAGGCAACGGAATCCTCTGTTTTGTGGTTCATCTCAGGGCTGGAATGAATCTAGGCCTCTGAATACTACTCCAAAGGGAATGAGCTTCTTGATTGTAAACATTGTTCATGCAAACACACTGGTGCTTGATTAGTACCTCTATCCAATTAAAAAATTTTAAACATATTAATTTCATCAATGAAAATAATTTATCACATCCTTTATACCAGTTCTAACCAGAGATAAAGAAAGCTGACTTGCTTGTAGCTGCTGCCTTTAGGGTCTTTAAAGACTAAATGTGGCTGGGCACAGTGGCTCATGCCTCTTATCCCAGCATTTTGAAAGGCTAAGGTGGGTGGATCCCTTGAGTCCGGGATCATGACCAGCTTGGGCAACATGGTGAAATTTTGTCTTTACGAAAATACAAAACTTAGCCAAGCATGGAAGTGTGTCTGTGGTCCCAGCTACTTGAGACGCAGAGGTAGGAGGATGACTTGAGCCTGGGACGCAGAGGTTGCAGTGAGACGAGCACCACTGCACTCCAGCTTGGGCAACACAGAAAGACTCTGTCTAACAAAAAAAAAAAAAAAAAAAGACTTTAAATAAATTCTGATAACTCTGTCTCCCACCACCCCATTTTAACCACTCTGGGAGTTTATATAAATCAAAAAATTAACATACACATGGCATTTTCTATGCTGAAATATTTTATGGTAAATTAAAGCCATGTAAAAGTGTTTGCTAGATTATTTTATATTTAACACTTTGCATCCTGGAGATATTTACTTACTCTCTTTGTGCTTCAGTTTACATCTCTAAAATGGGAATAATAATACTAATTACCTTACATGTTTAGTGTGAGTTTCAAATGAATTAATACCTATTAAACACTTAGAACAATGCCTGGCCTATACTGAGGGTTCAGTAAATTTTAGCAGCAGCTGCTGCTGCTACTACTACTGCTACTACCATTTTATAATTACTAATACTTATTGAAAATATTAGCAGATTAATAAAAATTCTCTGGGCTCCAGGTCGTAGTTCTCCTGGATGTTATTTTCTCTGAGTCTCAGGACTCTGCTCCTTTTTCCTGCATCACTTAATTCTTTTTTAGTTTCTATGTTTATTTTCCCCATTTACCCAGTTATGAATAAAAGAAATCTCCAGGTTGTGTGCATTATACACAGTTTCTACACAAATCCCTCTTGGACTGATCAGGTAAGTCTCAAGGAAACTAGTGACTTCCTAGGAAATCAAATTTCTTCTCTTAGATTGGAAGTAAGAGTGTGGGATAATATACAATAGTATTTGCCTAATTTTCGGTTCCTCAGAAGCAATGAACAAATGCTAACTTCCGTCATAGATGTGAGACCAGATTTTAAGCCTCTAGAACAGAAGATCTCAACTCATCGTCCCTAGGTTAGATTTAGATGTCAGAAGTAATTGCTTGTCCTATATGGTGCTTTTTTGTTGTTGCTGCTGTTGATTGCTTTGTTTTACTTAATTTGAGGCAACATTTAAAAGTTGAGAGATTTTCCATTAAAATCCACATGTCAAGTATCTCTTGGAATATCAGAAGATCAGGCAACAAATACTTGGGTAGAGCCAAGTAGCAGCTGCTTTTCTTCTAGATGGCATGGGCGCTTCAATTTACCTCAGTTCTTCTAGCACTCAGGGACTCTCCACCATAAGGTAAATTGACTCTTGATAATTTTTATGTGTGAGTGTGCTCTTCCATTTCTTTTGTTGCAGATATATTTCTTGTACTCAACCAACCTACATCTGTTCCCATGTCCTTACTTAATACTAAAATGAGTAAAATGTCAGGCTTCTATCTATTACCAACCCTTCCACTTATGTTCTGAATCCCATTCTATTTTTGCGTACTCAAAGATTTTGCATTTTTCTGCACTATCAGTTTTTTTTCTCTTAACTGACTTTTGCTCATCAGCATGCAAAAATGCAGTAATATCTTCTAACTTTGAAATACTCTGTTGTTTTTAACATCCCAAATCAAACTACTATCTCATTTCTCTTTTATAGCAAAATCCCAAATAGTCAATGCACGAATAGCTCTCCTCCTTCACTTCTTTTCCTTTTTCTAATCATTGCAATCAGGCTCTTATTCCCTCTCCTCTACTGAAACCACTCTTGTCAAACTTACCAGTAATTTCTATCTTGCTAAATCCTAAAATTAACTCTTTGTGGTTACCTTAACTAGACATTGCAACAGCATTTGACAAGTTCTTCAATCACCCGTGCTTGAAATGCTTTCTTCTGTTAGTTCCTATGATACTGTATTTTCAAGTTTTTCCTCCTAGCTTATTGATGGACTCTTTTTAGGCTTACTTGAAGGGCTATCCTCACCTTATCTGCATCCCACTCCTTAATATCCCATTCATATTTTATGCATGATATCGTACTTGTCACATCTCTTACCATACTCTGACCATACACATGCACTAGGCTTTAAACATTTCTCCTTGTACTGATTACTCTCAGAATTCTGTACCCTCAAATATTCTGAACTCTGCACTCATATGAACATGCCAATTACATATCACCACTTGAATACAAATTGGGCTCTCAAGCATACATATCTGAACCTAAACTCTTGATTTTCTTCTTCAGTCTTGCTTTTACACCAGCTTTCCCCACCTCAGTGAAAAGAACCGTAATTCATCCAGTTACTATTTCATGACTCTTCTCCTTTCATCACTCTTGATGTATAGTCTCTCGACAAGTCTACTGACACTTTCTTCAAGATAGTTGCATACCAGCATGGCACATGTATACGTATGTAACTAACCTGCACAATGTGCACATGTACCCTAAAACTTAAAGTATAATAATAATAATAATAATAATAAAGAAAGAGAGAGAGAAAAAAAAAAAGATAGTTGTCTAAATCTGACCACAGCTCACTATGGGCCATCACAAAAACTCTGGTAAAGACCACCATCGTTGTTCACTAAGACTACCACAATAATTACCTAACAAGCCTCCCTGTCTTACTCCCAAATTTCTAGTCAGTTCTCTGTCATTGTGATCTTCATAAATGTTAAAACAAGTCATGTTATGTACTGTGATTAAAATCATCAGATGGTTTCCCATCACTAGGGTGACCAACTTGACTCACTGCGCCTGGCCCTTTCCTAACTTTAACGTGAAAACTTCCATGTTCTAGGAACATTATTGGTCCCAAGTAAACTGAGACAGTTAATCACCTCCTCTGTAACATACATAATAAAATAAAATAAAAATCCTTACTATTCACTAGGTCTAAACATGATCTAGGGCCTGCCATTCTCCTGTATGTCATGTCCAATCACTCTTTGCTTTGCTCACTCTATTCTAGCCACATTGGCCTTCCACAGTTACTCAAACATATTAACCTTGCTTCTGCCTTAAATGTTTACTGAATAATTAAATGAATCTAGTAAAAAGTATTAAAGCAAAAGATAATTAGGGCCAGGCATAGTGGCTCACATCTGTAATCCCAGCACTTTGGGAGGCTGAGGTGGGTGGCTTGCTTGAGGTCATGAGTTTGATACTAGCCTGGCCAACATGCAAAAAATACAAAAATTAGGTGGGCATGGTGGTGCACACCTTTAGTCCCAGCTACTTAGAAGGCTGAGGCATGAGAATCGCTTAAACCTGGGAGGCGGAGGTTGCAGTGAGCCAAGATCTCGCCACTGAACTCCAGCCTGGACAACAGAACAGGACTCTGTCTCAAAAAAAAAAAAAAAAAAAAAGACAATTAGGATGGTGACATGTTTAAAACAATAATAAAAATATAAAGTGAAATTAACCAAATTATATCACTACAAAAAATCAAGAAATCACAAAGGAAGACAGAAATAGGAGGAAGAAAGGATAGAAAGAACTATGAAATAGAAAACAACGAAATAGCCAAAGTAAGTTCTTACTTATCAATAATCACTTTAAATGTAAATGGTTTAAGCTGTCTACACAGAAGACATAGGTGGCTAAAGAGATTTTTTAAAAATCAAGATTGAACAATATGCTGCCTACAAAAGCCTAATTTTAGTTTTAACAACACACCTAGGCTTAAAGTAAAGGGATGGAAAAAGATAGTGCAGATTATGATGGTTAATTTTATGTGTTAACTTGCCTGGGTTAAGGGATGCACAAAACACAGGAAAAGCTTTTTTTTTCTGGGTGTATCTGCTAGTGTGTTTTCAGAATAGATTATCATTTGAATCAGTAGACTGAGTAAATAAGAGTTACCCTCACCAATGTGGGCAGGCCTCATCCAAGCCGTTGAAGGCCCAGATGAAACAAAAGGTAGAGGAAGAGTGAATTTGCTTTCTCTTCTGGAGATGATATGTCCATATTCTCCTCCTTTTGGACATGAAAACCCCAGATTTCAGGCCTTAAGAGTGCAAGACTAACACTAGGGCTCACCCAATTCCCCCACCCTTATTCTCACACCTTTCACCTTTAACTAAAAATTATATCATTAGATACCCTGGTTCTCAGACCTTTAGACTGAGAGTAATTATACCACCAGTTTTTCTGGTTCTTCAGCTTGCAGACAACACATTTTAGGACTTTTTGGTGCTCATAATCACGTGAATCAATTCCCATAATAAGTCTTATCTATCTATCTATCTATCTATCTATCTATCTATCTATCCATCTATCTATATCTATATCTAATCTATCTATCTATATATTCTATTAATTATGTTTCTCTGGAGAACTCTAATACAAAAGTGATAACTGAAAGAAAGTGGAGATGGCTATACTTATATAGGACAAAATAGACTTTCAGTCAAAATCTTTCATAAGAGACAAAGAAAGACATTATAAATGGTTCAATTCATCAAGAGGATATAATAATTGTAAATATATATAGATTCAACATTGGAGCACCTAAATATAGAAAGCAAATATCAACAGAACTGGAGGAAGAAATAGACAGTAACACTGTAATAGTAGGGGACTTAAATTCCCTCTTTTCAACAATGGATAGATCATCCAGACAGAAAATCAATAAGGAAACAACAGACTTACATAATGCTATAACCAAGTGGACCTAACAGACATATACAGAACATTCTATCCAACAGCAGCAGAATACACATTCTTCTTGAATGCACATGGAACATTCTCCAGGATAAATCATATATTAGGCCACAAAATAAGTCCTAACAATTTAAGAAGTCTGAAATCATATTAAGTTTTTTTTTATGACCACAATCACATGAAACAAGAAATAGGAAGAAAACTGGAAAACTTACAAATGTGTGGAAATTACACTCCTGAACAACCAACAGGACAGGTCAAAGAAAAAAGGAAATCAAAAAGTATTTTGAGACAAATGATAATAAAAACACAACATACCAAAATTTATGAGATGCAGCAAAATCAGTTCTAAGAGAGATGTTTATAGCAATAAATGCCCATATTAAGAAAATATAGGCTGGGCTAGCTGGGTCATGCCTGTAATTCCAGCACTTCGGGAGGCCGAGGTGGATGGATCACCCAAGGTCGGGAGTTTGAGACCAGCCTGGCCAACATGGTGAAACCCTGTCTCTACTAAAAAATCCAAAAATTAGCCGGGCCTGGTGGTGGGTGCCTGTAATCCCAGCTGCTGGGGAACCTGAGGCAGGAGAATATTTTGAACCCGGGAGGCACATGTTGCAGTGAGCTGAGATAGCGCCACTACACTCCAGCCCGGGCCACAGAGTGAGATTCCATCTCAATAAGGAGAAAAAAAAAAAAAAAGATGTCAAATACACAGCCTAAAAAAAGAAAAACACTAAGCACAAAGTTAGTAGAAAAAATGAAGTAATACAAATTAGAGGACAAATAAATGAAATAGAGAATAGACAATTGAAAAAATCAACAAAACTAAGAGTTGGCATCTTAAAAAGATAAACAAAACTGGCAAATCTTTAGCTAGGTTAACCAAAAAAATAAAATAAAATAAGGAAGACTCAAATAAATAAAACCATAAATGAAAGAGGAGACAATGCAACTGATACCACAGAAATACAAAAGATCATGAGACTACTGTGAACAATTATACACTAACAAATTAGATAACCTAGAAGAAATGGATACATTACTAGACAAACACAACCTACCAAGACTGAATTATGAAGAAATAGAAAGTCCAAACAGACCAATAATAAGTAATGAGATTGAATCAGTAATCAAAAACTCCCCAACAAGGAAAAGTCCAGAGCCAAATGACTTCATGGGTGAATTGTACCAAACTTTTAAAGAATAACTAATACCAATGCTTCTCAAAACTCCCAAAAATTGAAAAAGAGTCAACATTTCTAAACTTATTTTACAAAACCAGCATTATCCTCATACTAAAGCCCATAAGGACACCACAAGAAAAGAAAATGAATACAGATATAAAAACCCTCAATTAAAAAACCTAACAAATTGAATTCATAGCACATTTAAAGTATTCATTTATTACAATCAAGTGGAATTTATCCCAGGGATGAAAGGATGGTTCAATAAATGCAAATCAATAAATTTACTATACCACATTAACAGAATAAAAAATAGTTTCTGTTATTAATAATAATAATGAAATATTTCAATAGTTGCAGGGAAAGCATTTGACAAAATTCAATATTTATTCATGATTTTTTAAAAAACTCTTAAATTAGATATAGAAGAAATCTGCTTCAACATAATAAGGTCCATAGATGACAAACCCACAGTTAACATCATATTCAATGATGAAATGCTGAAAGCCTTCTCTCTAAGATTAGGAACAGCGTAGTGGTTCCCACCCTTCCCATTAATATTAAATATATTACTGGAAGTTCCAGCCAGAGGGATTAAGCAAGAAAAAGAAATAAAATGTATCCAAATGGGAAATAAAGATGTAAAACTGTTTATTTGCAAATGATATTACCTTTTATATAAAAAAATCCGAAAGGCTCCACAAAAACCTGTGAGAATTAATAAGCAAATTTAGTAAAGATGTAGGATACAAAATTAACATACAAAAATCAGTTGTGTTCCTATACACTAACAATGAACTCTCCAAAAAGTAAATTAGAAAAACAACCCCATTCACAATAGCATCAGAAATAATAAAATAGTCGGAAATAAATTTAATCAAGGAAGTAAAAGATCTGTATATCCACTCAAAACTATAAGACATTAATGAAAGAAACTGAGGAAAACACAAGTAAATGAAAACCCATGTTCATGGATTAGAAGTAATATTATTAAGATGTCCACACTACCTAAAGCTATCTATAGATTCAGTCTTATCAAAATTTCAAAGACATTTTTCACAGAAATAGAAAAAACAGTCCTAAAATTCATATGGAATCACAAAAGACCTCAAATAGCCAAAGCAATCTTGATAAAGAAGAACAAAGCTAGAGCCATCACATTTCCTGATTTCAAATTTTATTACCAAGTTATAGTAATCAAAACAGCATGGTATTGGCATAACAACAGACATAGCCCAATGGAACAGAATATAGAGCCCAGAAATAAACAAGGGTGCTAAGAACACATAATAGGGAAATGACAGTTTCTTCAATAAACAGTGTTGGAAAAACTGAATATTGACATGCAAAAGAATGAAATGGGACCCATATCTTATACTATCCACAAAATTTAACTCAAAATGAATTAAAGACTTAAATCTCAGACCTGAAATCATAAAATTCCTAGAAGGAAATACAGATGGTCCATGACTTACCATGATTTTTTAAATTGGTGACGTGTTAAATGCATTTCCAACGTACACTATTTTCAACTTATGATGGGTTTATTGGATTATAGTCCCATTGTAAGTCAAGGAGCATCTGTATAGGAAAAAAGCTTCTTGACATTGGTCTTGGCAAGGATTTTTTTCAATATGACCACAAAAGCACAAACAACAAAAAATAAACAGGTAAAAATAAACAAAACTAACTAAAAGTAAATAAGCAAAAATAAATGAGTGGGACTATATAAAAAGATCCAGCACAGAAAAGGTAGCAATCAACAAAAATGAAAGGCAACTAATGGAATGGGAGACAATATTTACAAACCATGTATCTGATAATGGGTTAAGATACAAAAATGTATAAGAAAGTTATACAACTTAATAGCAAAAAATAATAATAGCCATATTTTTAAAAATGGACAAAGGATTGGAATAGACTTTATTTTCAAAGAAGATATATTAATACAACTGGTCAACAGGTATATGAAAATGTTCTCAACAACACTAATTATCAGGGAAATGCAAATCAAAAGCACAATGATATATTACCTCATACCTCTTGGAATAGCTATTACAAAAAAGACAAGAAATGTGTTGGCAGGAGTATGGGAACCCTAGTACATTGTTAGAAGGAATGTGAACTGGTTTAGCCCTTATGGAAAACAGTATGGTGTTTTCTCAAAAAATCAGATAGAACTACCATATGATCCAGAAATTTCACTTCTGGATACACATCCAAAGGAAATAAAATCAGTATCTCAAACAGATATCTGCACTCCCAGGTTCATTGCAACATTACTCACAAAAGCCAAGATATGGAATCAACCAAAGTGTCTGCCAATGGATTAATAGATTATTTAAATATGGTAAATATACATAATGGACTATTATTTAGCCATAAAAAAGAAAGAAATCCTGCTATTTGAAACAACATCGATGAACCTGGAGGACATTGTGCTTAATGAAATAAGTCACCCAAAAAAGACAAATACTTTATAAATCCACATATGTGGTATCTAAACAATTTGAATCCATGGAAGTGGAATGGTGGTTGCCAAGGTTGGGGGATGGATAGATGTTAATCAAAGTATACAAACTTTCAGTGATAAGATGAATAAGTTCTGAAGGTGTAATGTATAGTATGCTGACTGTAGTTAAAAATACTCTATTATGGACTTGAAATTTCCTAAGAGAATAGATCTTTAACTGTTTTCACCACACATGAACACACACACAACACAAATGGTAATGTGAGGTGTTGGACGTGTTAATTATGTTGATTGTGGTAATCATTTCACAATGTATACATAAATCATCACATTGTATCCCTTAAATATACCCAAAGTTTATTTGTCAAAAAGGAAAACAATGGGTACATATGACTTTGTGGAAAATGAGAATTATTTCTATTCATTTAATATGGAAACATTTATCTGCTTTGATAATTTCTATTACCAGTCTTGTCCCAATACTATTTGAGTTTTCGGCTCCTGTTCCAATCTGTGCTAAGAAGCTCAGGCTATGGAGACTTGCTGTATTACACAAATTAAATTCAGGAAGATAGGAGGTCTAAGCCGCTTGGCATCCAGTTACTAAGCAGTTATGAAAGCTCTTGATTGGCCAAGAGAATATGAATAGAAAGGAAACTAGATTTTTTGTTTGTGTCAGGAAATGTTGGTCCCAGTTTTGGCTTTGCCACAGGCTAATTATATGATCTTCAATTAATCACTTACTCTTGGGCATTAAGTTTGGAGCTTGTTTGTTTCCTTGGTGGTGGTGGTGGTTTAATTTGTAAAATAAATAAGCTGGGGCATATTGACTCTTTAGTTTCTCTCAGCTCTACAATTTTTCTTTTGTTTTTGTTTTTGTTTTGTTTTTCTTTCTTTTTTTTTTTTTTAATTGAGACGGAGTCTCGCTCTGTCACCCAAGCTGGAGTGCAGTGGTGCGATCTCAGCTTACTGCAACCTTTGCCTCCCGGGTTCAAGCTATTCTCCTGCCTCAGCCTCCTGAGTAGCTGGGACTACAGGCGCACGCTATCACGCCTAGCTAATTTTTCTATTTTTAGGAGAGACGGGGTTTCACCATGTTGGCCAGGATGATCTTGACCTCGTGACCTGACCACCTCGGCCTCCCAAAGTGCTGGGATTACAGGCGTGAACCACCCGCGCCCGGCCAGCTCTACAATTTTTAAATGATTGAGTCTCCTTTGCTTTTTCCTATGTTCCATGCACATTTGTAATTTCCAGATCCAGAAGTGATAAGCACACAATATATGTGAACCTGATCAACTAGGGCTGCTACAAATGAGAGAAAAATAATGCTTGCTATATGTTGCCTCTCCCACCAAGCCTAGGCAGCGTATTTTGAATGATGTTAAACAGGATTTTTTCACTGAGATGTAGACTGGGGCAGCGCGCAGTGGTTCACGCTTGTAATCCCAGAATTTAGGGAGGCCAAGGCGGGTGGATCACTTGAGGCCAGGAGTTCAAGACCAGCCTGACCAACATGGCGAAACTCCATCTCTACTAAAAATACAAAAATTAGCCGGGTGTGATGGTGCATGCCTGTAATCCCAGCTACTCAGGAGGCTGAAGCACATGAATCGCTTAAACCTGGGAGGCGGAGATTGCTGTGAGCTGAGATCGCACCACTGCACTCCAGCCTGGGCAACAGAGCAAGGCTCTGTCTCAAAAAAGAAAAGAGAGAGAGAGATGTAGACTGGTTCAAATTCTCCATGTCATCAACCTTTTAGCACTTCCTTGGGGCTCTGTTCCACTGTCACTGTTGAGCAATTTTTTGGATAGTAGGATAAAGTTTCCTTTGCTCAATTTCCTCCTATTTCTTTTCATTATTCTCTTTTGGATCAGACAGCATTCTCCTTCCCATCTTGGTGCTTACGATCTTCAAATATTTTGTAGTAATGTGCCCTGCCCTATTAGCATTCTAAGCTAATTTCAAACCCTTAGAGCTTCATGGAAATTCTGTTGCTTACATTTTTCCAGAGAGGTAGAATGTAAATCAGGTTATTAATATTTCAAATCTAGCTTCATGATACCACATTTAAAGTTCCATTTTTTGTTTTAAATAGAATAAATCCCCTCACATATTCCATTTCTAAATGGCAAAAATGCTAAGAAAAAAGAAAAGTCATACCTCCTGCTGTGTCATTTCACTGCAGAATGGAAAGGAATTGTCACCTGAAAAGTTCAGTTAGCTGCTCAGAAAATCTAACCCAAATTACATTTTTCTTTTTATTTCACATTATGCATATTCTAATTTCACCTTCACTATGAACTGTGCTTATTTTTATGTTCCCTGAAATATAACTTTCCTTGTTATTTAATTTGAGTACATTCTTCTCTTTTTTCCTAAGTACTTAGCTATTCACTTTCTAAGGTATTTCATTTAGTTGTATTCATTTTATAAACTCTGTCCATTTATTTGCATAAGATTCATTTTTTTCTCTCATTCCTGTGAAGGACTAATGATAGCTATCTGTCATCAGCAAATTTTATGAATCTATATCTTACCTGTTTTATTTTTCAAGGAGATAATAATTCTCGGTATTACTATAGCATCTTTCATTTTATAACTCTCAGTGCTTCAAAAATTATCCAATTGGTATTTATATAGTAGCTACTGGAAAAAGTAAATGGTGGTACACATTTTATAAATATTTAGCTATTGGGATTATAACCAATTCTATCAAGTAATTGAAGGTAAATTACTCTCCTTTCTTGGAATGGTTAATCTGGTTTCAGCATGGCCCATCCATGACACAGTCATGAGTATCTTACCATTTGGGCTTCTTCTGCTGTATCTGTGTGCCAGGGATCTTCAAATAGGTATATGTTTCAGTCGGCCCCTTTTCAGGCCAGAGGTGGTTTCTGAGAGTACCTGGAACATACAATATAATAAATATTAATTTCCCACCTATTCTGAGTAGAGACTAAAATGCATACTGTCTCTTAGGACTGATCATTTTTGGTAGAATTGTACAAATCATATGCAACTTAAAAGGTCATGTGATAAGGGTGAATTTCTCATGCTGTGCTACTGTATATGATAATGAGTGTTGCTCATTCTGTTCGTGTTCAATCCAGTGGGGGAACAAAAAATGTACACAAATGATTAAAATCCAGTGGGAGAGTTGGTTCTAAAGGTGTGAGTAGAGTGCAAAGTAAATCACTACAGATAAAATCATAAATTGCACCTTGGAAACTCAAGAATATTTCCAAAAGAAGCTAAGATTTGAGCATTGAAGTTTGCATTCCAGAGAGAGAGAACAGTATGAGTAAAATCAGTTCTGAACAACCGAAGTATACCATCTGAGTAAAGTCAAGGATGGTTTATAGCAAGAAAATGAAAGCCTCCTAAGCTAGTGACTATAAGCATTTTAATTATACATATGATTTTGAATCAAAGAAAAATTTAAACATCTAGAACACACAAAAAAAGTGACAACTGTAGAATTTTCAAAACTTCTGTTATTCATAAGTGAAATTTCCTTCCCCATGTTTCTCTTTTCTATTCCATTGCCAATTAATTCAGGCTCTCATCATCCTTATTTCAAATACCCAGGTAAATATTCTAGTTAAGTCAGTTTGAGAGAAGTGACTCTCTCCTTAATTTTTTCAGCTGTTCAAGGCCCAGAAAAATGAGCGGTACTGTTATGTGAAGAGTATTTGAGCGAGAGTAGTTTCTTTGAAAATGGAATGGCTAGGAAATGTATATGTCAGACTGACATGTTCCTTAGAAGGATAGTAGCAGATGATGACCATTGAAATTTGTACGTGGATGAAAATATGAAAGACTGTTTTTCCATTAATCGTTGCTGTGTAACAAGCCACCTCAAACTTAGTGACGTAAAACAACCATTTGTTATGTTCACATCTTCTATGAGTCAGAAATTCAGGTAGGATGCCATAGGAACAGCTTCTTTCTATTACATTATGTTTGAAGTCTCAGCTGGGAAGACGTGGTGCCTGAGAATAATGCAATGACTAGGGGCTGGAATTATCTGAAGGCTTTTCATTCACGTGACTTGCAGTTGATGCTGGCTATGGGCTGGGACTTCAGCTAGGTCTGCCAGTCACAATACCTACACATGACCTCTCCATGTGGCTACTTGAGCTTTCTCACTTACTATTTTAATAAAAAAAAATATTTAAAGGAAAATGAACATGAGTAAACGTTTATATCATTTAGCATATAGGAAAGAGAAAAGGTTAATATGATAATTTTTTTAAGATTCTTAAAAATTAGTGAGAAAGTGATGAACATCAAATAGAAATTAAAGTGCATTAAGAAAACTAAAATTACAAATAGCTAACAAGCACATGAAAAAATATTAATTTCCCAATCACATAAAGAAATGCAAGTAAAATTAAAAATAAGATAGCTTTTTTTCACCTTATCAGATTGGCAAAGATGACATTTTGGAGGATACCTTCAGTTGTCAAGAGTGTGAAGAAAAGGAAATTCAAAGTACTGGTAGTGAGAGAGCGAACTTACATAAATTTTTTGGAGGACAGTCTGGAAAATGCATAATAATTTAAATTTTGCATATGCTTTATCTATGCTTTATGAGAACATTTTAATTTCTAGGAATTTATCTTCAGGAAATTTTTAAACAGTACAAAGATGCATATAAAATGTCATTCAAAATAGCATGGTTTATAATTAATAGCAAAAAATTACATATAGTTACATATTAATTATGAATTAGGGCATAGTTTATAATTAATAGTAAAAAATTACAAATGACCTATCTTACAAAAAAATAAGAATTGGTTAAATGGAAATGAGAATTGTAATAAATACAGTCATTAAAATAATTATGTAATTTAGTTTTATTGACATAATAAGATGTCCAAGATATGATAATAATGGACCAGGGAAAACAAGCATACAAAACATCATGAACTATATTATTTTTATTTTATTTATTTATTTATTTATTTATTTATTTGAGACCGGGTCTCACTCTATTGCCGAGGCTGGATTGCAGTGGTGCAATTACAGCTCACAGCAGCCTCAAGCTATCCTGGGCTCAAGTGATCCTCCCACTTCTGCCTCCTGAGTAGCTGTGACAACAGGGATGTGCCACCATGATCAGCTAATTTTTGTATTTTCTGTAGAGATGGAGTTTTGCCATGTTGGCCTCAAACTCCCAGGCTTAAGCAATCCACCCTCTCCAGCCTCTCAAAGTGCTGGGATTATAGGCATGAACCACCACACCCAATCTTAATTTTTGTTAATTTTTTAATAGAAAAAGGTGCCTATGTTTAAATGCATAAAAACTAAAATATCCAGAATAAGAGCTTCAACCAAGAAATACATATTTGAGAAAATTTCTACATTTAAGTGTGATAAATAAAGAAAGGCAGACATTTATTCATTTGTTGAATGCTTGCTTGTTGCAGATAATTTTTCTGGGTGCTAGAAATAGGAAATGAAGAAAGCAGATAGAGCCATGACTTGAAAAGCAGAGTGTGGCTGTGACCACACAGGATCTCCTCTCTAACCCTTCAAAAATAATGAATCTTTCCAGAATTTTTTTTTTTTGCTCTTCTCTGAGAATTCAGAAAATTGGCAGGGGAGGAAATGGAGAAGGATTAAGGAATGGTAGATAAGTTCATTACATATTGAAAACTAGGAACAGAAGATATTGGCTATAGAGCTAATAGTCCCTGGGACTCAAAGGAATTTTTTTTCATGTTTCTGTGAAAAGAGGCTATGAAAAAAAATAGAGTTTGTGTTGACAGAGGGTGAAAAAGGAAATTTAAAAAGGATTTTAAGAAGGATTGTTGGTGATTTTGTGTGCCTTTTACAAAGTACACTAGTAAATGAAGTAAAGGATTTGTATTTATTTGAAATTATTTGTTTCTACTGCCTGGTTTATAAGCACTAGAATGGAGGGAGTGCAAAAGAGGAAATTTCAACCTAGTCAGGAAGCAGATGAAGCCTCACTGAGATTATGGTGTCTAAACTCAGATTTAGAGATAAGTATAGAGAAAAGAGCAGAGATCCCAGAGAGAAGGAACAGCATTTTAAATACCCAGAGAGAAAGTCTCTAAAGTACCTTAAATCAAATCAAATAAATCTAGTCTGTTGAAAGAAGCTGTGGTTCAGGAAGTGAACAGGACATTATACATACCTTAGACACATGGATTTTAATACACTGTGTGAATTAGACTTTGGGCCATAAGGCCCAGGCCTGGTAAAGGACTTGGAACTGAGCTTTCTGGAAAAGAAAAACTTAGAGCTAGACAAGTATTTTTCCATCTTTGCATAGAGACCAAACAAAGAGATAGTCTGTGTTCATGAACTGGAAAACTTAATATTGCTAAGATGTCAGTTCTTCCCAATTTGATATATAGATTTAATGCAATCTCAATAAAAATTCCATCAAGCTATTTTGTAAATACTAACAAATTGATTCAAAAGTTTATATAGCAAGGCAAAAGACCTAGAAGAGCTAATATAATACTGAAGAAGCACAAAAAAATTGTAGTGTTCACACTTCACTGTCTCAAGATTTACTAAAATCTATGATGATCAAGATATGGTATTACCTAAAGAATGGACACATAGATCAATGGAACAGAGAGTCCATAAACAGACCCACACAAATATAGTAAATTAATTTTTGACAAAGATAAAAAAGGAACTGAATGGAGAAAGAATAGTATTTTTCAACAAATGGCTGAAACATTTGAACACCCATATGCAAAACAATAAATTCAGATGCAAGCCTTATACTTTTTACAAAAATTAACTAAAAACAGATTATAAATGTAAACGTAAAATGCAAACTGGAACACTTCTTGAAGAAAACAGGAGAAAATCTACATAACCTTTGGTTTAGCGGTAAGTTTTTAATTGGACACTGAAAGCATGATCCATGAAAGGAAAAAATTGATAAATTGGACTTCACAAAAATGTAAAAATGTTTTTAGCTTAAAAGAACCAAATTGCAGAGTGAAAAGATGTCACAGTCTGTTCAGGCTGCTATAACAAAATACCAGAAACTGAGTAGCTTATAAACAACACAAATTTATTTCTTACAGTTCTGAAGGCTGGGAAGCCCAAGGTCAAGGTGCCAGCAAATTTGGGTCTGGTGAAGATCTTCCTCCTCATAGATGGTGACTTCTTGCTATGTCCTCACATGATGGGAAGGGCTAGATAGCTCTCTGCGTTCTCTTATATAACAGCACAAATAGCATTTATGAGGGCCCTTAAGATCTGTAAGATCTTACAAAGATCATCTCTCAAAGGCCTTGGCTCTTAATACTGTCAGCTTGGGAGTTAGGATCTAAATAAATGAACTCTGAGGGGATACAAATATCCATACAGAAGCAAAATACAATCCAAGAAATTGGAGAAAATATCTGCAAATCATATATTTGGTAAAGGATATCTAGAATACACAAAGATTTTCTACAACTCAACAACAAAAAACCAAAAGGATATTTTTAAATAGGTAAAGGATTTGAATAGACATTTCTCCAAAGAAGACATACACAAGACCAATTCACCAATAAGTGCATGAAAAGATATTTAACATCAGCAATCATTAGAGAAATGCCAATTGAAGCCACAGTGAGATATAAACACATACCCATTAGGATGGTTGTTATGAAATAAATTCCCAGAAAATTGGTGAGGATGGAGAGAATCTGGAACCTTTCTGCACAGTTGGCAGAAAAGCAAAATGGTGCCGCCACTATGAAAAACAGTATGGAAGTTCCTGCTGGGTGTGGTGGCTCAGGTCTGTAATCCCAGCACTTTGGGAGGCCAAGGCGGTGGATCACGAGGTCAGGAGTTTGAGTCCAGCCTGGCCAACATGGTGAAACCTCATCGCTACTAAAAATAAAAAAAAGAAAAATTAGCCAAGCATGGAGGTGCATGCCTATAGTCCCAGCTACTCGGGAGGCTGAGGCAAGAAATTGCTTGAACCCGGGAGGTGGAGGTTAGAAGTTAGCTGTGCCACTGCACTCCAGCCTGGGCAACGGAGTGAGACTCTGTCTCAACAACAACAACAACAACAACAAAACAAAAACAAAAGAAGAAGAAGAAAAGAAAAAGAAATGAAAAACAGTATGGAAGTTCCTCAAAATATTAAAAATAGAACTAACATATGATCCAACAGTTCAACCTCTGGGTATGTTCCTAGTGGTATTATTCACAATAACTAAAGAGTGTAAACAACCCAATTGTTTATTGATGGATAAACAAATTACTGGAAAGAAAAATGGATAAACAAATTATTTTACAAACATGAACAGTCTTATCACACAATCCAGCAATTGCTCTCCTAAGGTACTTACTCAACTGATTTTAAAACTATATACACATGGAGACTGTAAAAGCTACAACCTCTGATTTAGAGACAGAAACCTTGCCTGGGCCATGAGTAGAAAGAATAATTCTCAGCAAAACAGGATCCAAGCCTTTATCTTGCATGAGGGTGCAACCCAACTTCACAATATCCATACGGTTCCGAAGCCTTGAACACGAAGCTAGTATTAAACATAGTCGCAAACTGGTGACCCAATAGGGTCCTGGTAACATTGAAATTGCAACACAGGGATTTTCAAAATCCAAGGAATGTCCAGGTCTTTGGGGAAAAATCTCCCACTGGAGACAAGCACAGCAAAAGCCAGAATGAGATACTTCATACTAAGGAAACAGAGATCAAAGAGATTCAAAAGACCTTTTAAAATAAGTAGGTTTAAAATATTTAGAGAGATCAAGGAAGCAAGAGAATCCATCAAGAGTAAGGATTTTATGAGGGAAAAAAACTCATGTATTTGAAAAAGAACCAAATGGAGATTCCTGAAATAAAAATAGTCACTGAAATTAAAAAAATAATAATAACAGATAAGTTAAACAACAGGCTACTGAAAGATCAAACGAGATGAGAACAGAAAATTCTGCATTAATCTAACAAAAGAGATGATGGCCTGAATAGTGCAGTGGCAATGAGAGTAGAAAGAAGTGGAGAAATTTAAGTATTTAGAAAATAGAATCAACAAATTATTGAAGGAAAATACTTAATCCTCCCCAAAATTCATTCATGACTTAGAAGAGAGGCACTGTGGCTATGGTCTGAGGTGTTGCAGTAGCTTCTTCACAATACCTGGCACATGGTGTTGAATGCTGCTGTCATTTCATTTGTTTTGTGTTGTTGTTATCATTAAAGTTGATCAGCAACTGCTGAAAACTAAAGAAGGAGATGGAGAGTCTCCTAATATATTTAGGGAGCCTAGACCCTATCTTTTGTTGCATCGCATCGTCAAAATATTTCACAGAATGGCTTAGCAGAGAGCTGCTGTTTCTGCCACATTGCACAAAAATTGACTGAAATATGAAATAAATCAGATAGCTCAGAAAACACACATCATTGTATGCAATAATGCACCAAATGATAAAGGAAGCAACCCAAATCAGTATTTGGAGAGACAGAATTATTAAATCAATGATGCTGGCACAGCAGCAGCAGCAGCAACAGCAACAACATACTATTACCTCACAATGCTGAAACAATTAGGTTAGGAAGGCATATGGAAAAAGATTTGTCACAGAATTAGAGAGATGCATCTTTAAAGGTTTCTTTTAAAAAATATGTAAATTTGTTTTTGTGGACAAATTCTCATGGAATAAATTTTTTTATGAGAATATGCAATGCTCAAAAATGTTCAGTAAAATAAGCACACTCTTACACTGCTGGTGGAAGGCTAATATGTACAGTTTAAAAACATTATCAGCAAGTTTTAAGCAGCCTAAGAATATTTGTACATTTTAATGTAATAATTCGACCTCTAAGAATGTACTGTAAGAAAATTGTAGAAATGAAGAAAGCTATGCATTGAAAATGTGGTTTATAAGCGAAAAGATTGGATACAATCTAAACATTTAATCAACAGGTAGTGGTTGTAATAGATGGTCTGGTTATATTGGACTATTACACAGCCATAGAAATCTACTCATAAGTAATTTTTAATTAGTTGTGCACAATTGTTCTCCTTTTGTTCCCCACCTTCCTGATCCGGTACCTTCCATTCCCTTCTCTGACCTGTTTTCTGGCAAGCTGACTAATGCAGGCTGCATCCTATGGTTTCTCTGCCTTCTGGGCTTTCAGTTGGCTTTGGCCTATGAGGGTCACTGGCAGGAGATCAAAGGGTACGAACGGGGAGAGATAGTGGATTTTTTTCCTGATCCCTCTCTGCTGTTGGGCAGCTTCTCCAGCAGAAGCTGTGTCTCTTTAAAGCCACAGTTATGGCCGGGCGCGGTGGCTCACGCCTGTAATCCCAGCATTTTGGGAGGCCGAGGCGGGCGGATCACGAGGTCAGGAGATCGCGACCATCCTGGCTAACACGGTGAAACCCCGTTTCTACTAAAAAATAGAAAAAAATAGCCGAGCGTGGTGGCAGGCGCCTGTAGTCCCAGCTACTCGGGAGGCTGAGGCAGGAGCACGGCATAAACCCGGAAGGCGGAGCTTGCAGTGAGCCGAGGTTATGACATTGGGCCACAGAGCAAGACTCCGTCTCAAAAAAAAAAAAAAAAAAAAAGCCACAGTTGCCATGAAGCTGCCCTTCCTTAGCCACATCAGTTCCTACTGAGCTTCCAAAAAACAATATGTCCTTCTTTTGTCTCTTGGCCCTATAACTTCCTGTGGTTGCTGGCATCGGATGCCCAACAACCCTCATTTGTTCCTGATCTCCAACCACAATTCCATGTGGAATCCTTTCACGAAGTCTCTTCATTTAAACTTTCTTAGGGAATTTCATAACCAGACTGAGATGTGTGTGAATTTTTTAGTTTTAAGACTGCATTGTCTGTATGACCTAGTATCAAAAGATATACAAAATATTGTAGAGAAACAAAGAACATGTAAAGAAAAATTGATTCTGAAAATTATGAATAAGAAAGACATATTCCCTTTATCTATTTCCTACTTTCTAAATATTTTTACAATAAACACGTATTTCTTTATGATAAAGTAGTAACTCTAAAAATTAGGTGAACACATTTTATATATATTTCTCATGTTAAAAAGTACATTAAGTTACCTTTTTTATGATTTCCAACTGATTTTCAGTTATTCAGTGTTCTTTTATAGAAACATACCTAGTTTTTTGTCCACATCAAAATAAACATCTTGCCAGAAATTTTTCTTACCTCTTACTTGCAACCGAGATCTTTCTGTTCTTGAAAGGAGATGATGTGAGACCCAATTTTGTTCCTACTTTTTAATAGAAACTTTAGTATCTTTGTTTTAAAATTTCAACTTTTATAGATATGGGTTTTTCCAGGTTTGTTACATGGGTATATTGCACCCAGGTAGTGAGCTTAGTATCCAATAGGTAGTTTTTCAACCCACACCCCTCTAGCAGGTCCCGGTGTCTGTATTTCCCATGTTTATGTCCATGTGTGCTCAATGTTTAGCTCCCACTTGTAAGTGAGAAAGGCAGTATTTGGTTTTCTGTTCCTGCATTAATTTGCTTAGGATTATGGCCTCTGGCTCCACCTATGTTGCTGCAAAGGACATGATTTTATTCTTTTTAATGGCTATGTAGTATCCCATGGTGTATATGTACCACATTTTCTTTATGCAATCCAACTTTAGTATCTTGCCACTAAAAATATTTTCATCAAGCATAATTGGGGCAAACTTTCCTCTACTTTAATTTTCTTTGTGTGTACAGAGCTCAATTAATGTACTTCTGGCATTGAGAAGATGGCGTGACATTTCTGATTGGAAATGTGAGAAGAACAAAATCTTCCTCACCTTCCTGTT
This sequence comes from Homo sapiens, assembly GCF_000001405.40. NCBI lineage: Eukaryota > Metazoa > Chordata > Mammalia > Primates > Hominidae > Homo > Homo sapiens. Next base: position 96,378,389 of record NC_000006.12, read on the forward strand.
TTCTCTTGATGCCAGCCTCCAACAGAGACCATTAGCCCTCCTTTGTCTTTTCATGCTACAAGTTGTGCCAGAGTCTGTTGAGAGGATACCTGCCCCATGTCCAGAGTTTTCCATAAATGGATGAAATCTTTCTAATTCTGGGATTCTGGTAGCAAGCCCATTCTGCTAATGCATCTAAAGCCACGTTATGCTTCTTCACTTCTGGCAGTGATAAGGATTATATTTTGGCTCATATATTTACTCTTTTGTTTTATGGCTCAAATAATTTAACAATAATGTGAGAAAGAGGGATGATATTTGTTGATGGCCTCCTCAGAAACCCTAATAATTCATGATTCTTTCACAATCATAGGTACACCTGGATAATTTTTACTCAGTAATAGAGCATTCTTGTTAGTTCAAGTTTTGCTATACATAGCCCTAATTTTCGAGGCCAGAGGGCATCATACTATTCTTAAATGGCCCATGGTAATTTCTTGGAGAATGCAGCAGGTCAAACAACAAAGAAAGCAGAGTGAAGATCTTTTGGGGCTCTGGAATGTCTATATATCAGGACCATAAACGCAGTTATTGAGTTATACATAGGACTTCCCTTTCCTCATATCCTTTTAGCTCTAGAATGCCAAAAAATAAAATGGGCAAAATAAGTATCGGGGACTTTTATCACTCTCCTTAAAACTTTATTTTTTACATGTCTCAGTGATGCAGCATTACAAATTAGGCAATGAGACCATTCTAATCTAACAGATATTTCTTCTTAATATTAAGATAGTATATTAGAGGCACTGTTGCATTTCTAGTTTGCTATATCTTAAGTGTTAGCCATTCACATAATTTTGAAGTCTTTTATTAGTAATTCTATTCATTCCACTTGAATAGATCTTCATTTCATGAATCATTGTGCACTCAACTTTTTCTTAAATAAAATAATTTTAATGAAATAATTGTATGTCAGTTTATATTTTATTATCATTAAAGCTATAATTTAATATTATATTCATTGTGTAATCTGTTAATAAAAAATATCATGAAGGTAAGTAATTCATGTCTTTCAGACTCCATGAAAAATTGATATGTTCTGTTGACAATTTGCCAACAGGAGGTCAATTAGCCTGGGACACCCTTCACACCGTATGGTGAATCATGATCATTCCACTTGTTTTAGAAAAAAAAATTAATTACAGTACTTACCATGTGTCAAGCACTGCACTCATTACTCTACCATCTTAGAGTATAAAAGGAAAGATATATGTTAATTGAGTAATCACAGAAATAATTGTTTAATTATAAACTGTGAAAGATATCATAAATAAAAGTATATAATATGTCCAGGGATGGCAGGTAAATGTAGGAAACATTGGTCGATAGTATAATGATCCTTTTGCCCCACAGCTAATAAAAATTTTCAGCCTCTAAAATTGACCTCTTGCATGTAAGTTAAACCACCACATGAACTTACAATATTTATAGACAACTCTTTCTCTAAAATTCATCAAAGGCCAGTAACTTGGAGAAAACTTTTTTTTCAATGTTGCATGCATTGTGACCCAAAAATCAGAATACCTGAACTCCATTCCTGAACTTCCCCGAATTCCAACAGGGGACTTAGGCAAGTAAATTGACCTCTACGGGCTTCCGTGGCTTCGCATGCAAGATGAAGGTGTTGGATCAGGTCACCTCAAAGACTACACTAAGCTAAAGAATCTCTTATTCTATAACCTGAGAGACATAGTCTCAATTACTATAAAGTAAGCCTATACCTGTAGAGGTTACCTGTCATACAGAATCTACAGGAATATTGGCATTAAATTTTGATGAAGGATCCCTTTAGTCCTTTACCAAAATAATGTATAACTGTGTAGAACTAATACATGAAATGAAAATAGAATTTGCTTTTGGCTTTGAATATGGCACCTGATTATCCTGAAATGTAGTTTCCCAAAGGAATATCTGTTCCCTAATGGAAGTTGGTATGGAATATACTAAAAAATTATTAGAAGATAAATTAATCTGTATAAGGCAGTAGGAACCTCAGAAAGCTTTTCTTTTTGCTCAATATAATGTAAGTCCACCTGCTATACACATTTCCAGAAATGCTCCATTTCTCCCAAACACACAGAGCATTGATAATTACCTGCTTAATAGTGTCTTTCTTCTCCAGCAGACACAATATCCCATTTACTGCTGTATGATTCCGTTTTTGCTACAGTAACACAAAAAAAACTTCTAGGAGTCTTAGAATAACAAATTTATTTCTTGTTAAGATTTTATGTCAACCCAACATTCAGCTGGCTTGACTAATTAAGACGCCAGGCTTCTGGTTGAGTTTAGATAGTCTCCACATAGTTTTCATTCTGGGACTAAGACTACAGAAACAGTGATTGCATGAGGAATGGTATTTTGGCAAATGGCAATAATGCAAGAAGAAAGAGAAACTCATGACACTTCTTAAGCCTCATTTAAGAATAGTCACACTGTCTCATCTTCACACATTTCATTAGTCAAAGAAATCCCATGAACAAGCCCAAAATCAATGAGGGTGAAATATATTCTGCCCATTCTGCTGGGGACAGGAATATAAACTGTTGAACAATAATAAAGCCTAGAATAGCTGCCCTTCACACACTATGGTACATGATACATAGTGGATGCCTACATTTTTTGGAAGAATTTATAAAATTTGATAACATGTCATTTATTTCCCCAAATAGTCCATGGTCTTTTGTCTGTCTTTGAAATATAAATGTTCTTTTCCCCTCATATGACAATAATAATTGATAATCTTAATTTTTCCCAAATTCAGCATAGATCAGGGAAGAGTTTACCATTGTATCTCCAGTTCCTAGTTCAATAACTTTCACATAATCAATGTTCAACAAATATTTTTAGATAAATGAATAAATAGTGACTCCATTTAGACAAATATTATCTACTTTTTTAAACAAATAAAATAAAGCTAAGATTAAGATCTAGTAAGTGATTAATCCTAGGGCACTTTAGCATCACTTTCTATATAAATCTAGTGACTCATTATGCCCTTTTGTGAACTCTATTTAAAATTTATGGTATGCTGGTTGGAAATAGTTTTCGAAGTTAAATATACCCTACTGAGATTACATGGGCATCATGAAAACAGTCTTTTAGGCCTATAAATTTCATCCTCATGCTTTCAGGATATTATCATTATCTTAAAAAGTAATATTTAATCTCTCATGTGGGTATTGTACTTTGATGTGTTAGTCTTTACTGTTCATTAAAAATACTTTCCATGTACCTATTAGGCTCAAGCTTTTGTTTGGTATACAAAAAAATAAATAAATAAAATAAATAAAAAATAAAAACAGTTTCTGTTTTTCAAGTTTTGTTATCTGCTTGAGCAGATATGTTATGTTTTGAAATAGCTACAGCAATATCTGATGAGCACCAAATGAGAAAAACAATACTATTGGAATTCAGAGAAGAGAGATAACTTCCCACAAGTGCAATTAGGAAAATCTCATGGAAGAAGTAGGATTTGAGTGAACCTTAGAAAATGAGTATGATTTTCATAACTGAATTAGAGAGGGAGGGTATTTCAGGGAGAAAATATAATAAATATAAAAGGTAAAAGCTATAATCAAGCAATATTAAGAAAGCCAGAGTAAAAGCCACATTAGTCCCCGGCTTACATTCCAAGAGCCCCCGTGGATGGCTGAAAATTTGGATGGTAACAAACTATATATACCATGTTTTTTTCCTATATCTTCATACCTTTAATAAAGTTCAATTTATATATTCGGCACAGTAAGAGATTAACAACAATAACTAATAATAAAATCGGACAATTATAACAATATACTAAAATAAAAGTTGTGGGAACATGGTCTTTCTCTTTCTCAAAATATTTTATTGTACTGTAGATCTTTACAACATCAGCAAATGATATTTTTCCTTTCCTTATTAAGTCAAGAACTTTTATCTTTTTACTTAAAGGAAGAAGCTGATGGCTTCTCTTTGGCGTATCTGAATTTCCAGCATCACTACTCTTGCACTTTGGACCCCCTTTTAAGTAAAATAAGAGTTATTTAAATACAAACATAGCAACACTGATCTGATAACTGAGACAGCTACTAAGTGACTGATGGGTGGGTAGGGCATACAGCATGAATATGTTGGACAAATGTTCATGTTCTAGGCGAGTCAGAGCAGGACAGTGTGAGATTTTATCATGCTACTTAGGATAGCCACAATTTGAAACTTCTATGTAATATTTTTAGACAATGCTTGACTGCGGGTAATTGAAACTATGGAAAGAAGAATTGTAGATAAGGAGGGACTACTGTATATGTAGGAAAATAACTAGATATGAGGCTTGGTAACTAGATAGAGAACATACTGTGTATGAAGACATAAAATGGTGAACTAAGAAATCTCAGTTTGATGTTGTGAGCATTGTAGAGTTATTAAAATTTTTTACTAGAGAAGATATCACAGTGAAACTACATTTTTAGGATAATTAATTTGGCAGTAATATAAATAATGGATTTGAGAAGTATCATAGGCAATTTAGGAGAAATTTCCATTATCAAGTCATGAAATAATTACTTCTAAATAAAGGTGGATTATTAGAGTGCTGTAAAGGACAACATACTGAGTACCAAGTCAAATGTACTGCAATCAAAACAAAGAGCAGCCTGGTCAGGGTTTATTTAGTTCATGGCCCCAGAATTCTGATCAGGGAAGACTGGGACCAGGATAATAAAAATACATCAAGTTGGATAAAAGGCTGGAATCTGAAAATGAAAAAAAGATCAAGGTCACTGATTACCACAGATATGGGCATGATTCCCAAAGGCAATCAAATTCAGGAGACACAGCTTATAGGCAGGATGTGAGTATCATTAGCCAAACTGATAGACTATCAAGATTGCAGATTTTAGAATAGAGAGGCCATACATTCATTTATAACACAGCTAGTGTTGAACAAAATTTATTAAGTGAATATATTGGACCAAATGTTGGCCCTAACCTAAGATAACTTTTCTCATTATGTAGTAGGAACAATGTAAAGTGGTGCTTGCAGAAGCAATGGAATAGTAATGTTTTCTTATTGTCACACATTTCAGATTGAATACAGACAGTCCATAAATCTGAGCACTGGTACTGGAAGCAGGAGGGACAAGGGGATGAGGAGTCACTTCAGGGAGGTGAAACTTAAAAGGTTTGTATTACAACTTAATTCATGAATTTCTATCAAGTGATAAATAGTTTGCATGTTTTTTGACAGCCAGTCATTTTTTTAATCAAAGAAAGGTTTGGTCCATATTCTAAAGCATATTAAGATTATGCAATTTTGAGTTTTTTCTTTTTTCTTTTTTTTTATTTTGAGACAGAGTCTTGCTTTGTCGCCCAGGCTGGAGAGCAGTGGTGCAATCTCGGCTCACTGCAAACTCCGCCTCACGGGTTCACGCCATTCCCCGGTGCCTGCCACCACGCCCAGTAATTTTTTTTGTGTGTGTGTGTGTGTTTTTAGTAGAGACAGGGTTTCACCGTGTTAGCCAGGATGAGTTTTTTCATTCTTAATCTAGAAATGTTTTCTGTTGTAAGATCTCTAACATGAAGAACCAAATATACCAATAAGCCTAGAAGACACACAGAGAAATAAAGAGAAGAGTGGGTTAGAGGAGGGTGTGGGGATGGAGGAAGAAAATGTGTGTGTGTGTGTGTGTGTGTGTGTGTGTGTGAAGGGGCAGTCTTTTATATTAAGTCAAATAAATCATTAACAATACAAATATAAGAGAAGCACAATTTGCAGATATAAAGAAAATGTATATAAGATATATTTCCTCCTCAAAAGGATACTCCCAAAATTATTTTCATCGCTACTGGATTAGGTGGGATATCACCAAATAGAATATTATCAAGTGATAAAAATTCTTTGTAAATTGTTTTCTTCCATGAGCATGTTGATTTGTTATATGATTCATAACTCTAATATACAGAAGCCTGGCGCCTGTGTCACTGAAGGGAGATTTTACATGCAGCACTGTGCCTTTGTTCCTTGAAAACTGTCAGCAGATACCGAAGAAAATAATATATGTTCTATTTGCCTTTAGGTACCAGGATACCAAAAATAAGATTCCTTCTTGTGTGTAAACTGAAATTTCTCTATGTGAGAGATCCAACAGCTTAAGGGTTCAGTGGCAAGAGAAACCGTTGATTATTAATTGATCACAGAACTACCCAAAAAGTAAAATGTAGCTATGGCAGTAGATTTCAAATATATGAACATCAACAGATACCTAATTCAACTAAAAGCAGGACAGTACATCTGTAATCACCATCAACACATCTCTATCCCTTTCTGAATTGCAACTCTTACTCGCCTATCCACTCTCAACACCCACCCATTCCCCAAAATAACCTTTTGCTTACGATCATCTCTACTGTTTTTTTCTGTCAAGTTTTCCACTTTGACCTCGCCTCTCATTTTGTTTTTTCAAATGTGTATAGTGTTCTTGTTAATAATGGACAGAGATATGTTATGCATGTAAAAGGAGCTTGTGTGTAAGATATTTAGGAAAGGTACAAATTCCAAGACTGAGTTGTTTTCTTGCATCTCCACCTCCATCTTGAAGCCCACTAGCACAGCATATTGCTCCACAAATAGGAGCCAATGTACTGAGTATGGAATGGTAAATTAAAGGAGAAAAATCTAAAAAGCTCTGACTCTCTGAAACTGCCATCTCCTAAAATAATCATGTGAGTCAGAATCTCCTGTGGAACATATTAAAAATATAGATTCCTTGGGATCTACCCCAACAGAGATTCTGATTAAATAGGTCTTGTGTAAAGTCCAGAAATGTAAATGTTTAACATACTCCCCAGGTGATCCTGATGCATGGTCTGCACACTGCAATCATTATTCCAGAAATTAGAGGAATAAATACTTCTATGTCCTAATTTGACTAACAACGAGTACTTGATGGCAGGATTGACAGTGATGGAAACTTGGAATAAAGGTCTAGGCAGTCATAAAGCCCAAGAAGAAATCAGGTCAAAGTTAGACCTCAGCCTTTAGGAATGTGGGTTTCTTAAAAGGTACAAGAAAAAATAGATTTAGATACTGGGCATGGTGGCTCACACCTGCAATCCTAGTTCTTTGGGAGCCAGAGCTGGGAGGATCACTTGAGGCCAGGAATTCAACACAAGTCTGGGCAACATAGCAAGACCCTGTCTCAAAAAAAGAATAGATTTAGATTTTAGGAGCTAAAAAAATAAATAAATAAACTTGCATTACTTTTAGGTTCCTGCCAAATACACTGAAATACATTAGGTCCCATTCATTCCATTTCTGATCCACACCTGCCCACTCTTCCAGCTCTTTCACTATTTTTACCATTTACTACTCTAACAGCTCTTTAAAACCTAGTATATTGATCACTCTTTTCCCCATGTCTGTAAGACTCTACTAGCTTCACAGTCTTCCCATAGCTGCCTAAGCAGAGTCTTTCATTTCACAAGCCTATTGTCAACACACTCAAGTACCCTTCACTGTTGTCCACACCATTTGTTTCCCTAAAACCCCTAAACCAAGATGAACCCTACTCTGGTGCCTACTTCTCTGATGTACTGAACACCACTAAACAAAAACCACACAATCATACATACTGATGCTCCCACAATACATGATCTTTCCCCTCAACTGGGCTTTTAACCCCATAGCAATTATTTTACATATTTCTGGTCCACTTTGTATCTTCTTCCTTTCAGTAGCTATCCCAAATCTTTATCAGTTTGGTTGAAGGTCTGATATGGTTAGGCTTTGTGTCCCCACCCAAATCTCATATTGAATTATAATCCCCATGTGAGGGAGAAACCTGGTGGGAGGTGACTGGATAATGGGGGTGGATTCCCTTATGCTGTTCTCCTGATAGTGAGCTAGTTCTCACGAGATTTGCTGATTTTACATGTGTTTGGCAAGTTCCTCCTTCGCCCACTGTCTCTCTTGCCACCTTGTAAAGAATGTGCCTCCTTCCCCTTCCACCATGTTTATAAGTTTCCTGAGGCCTCCTCCAGCCATGCAGAACTGTGAGTCAATTAAACCACTTTTCTTTATAAATTACCCAGTCTCAGGTATTTATAGCAGTGTGAAAATGGACTAATACAAGGCCCCATTAATTTTCTCAGCACATAAAGTAAAATTCATCACATAGAAGCTACTTTAACTCTCCATCTCCCAACACATAAATGTCCATGTCTACATCTCTAGTCAAATACCTATACCTATAACCACAGCTGTGTTCATACTTTCCAGTTCCCTCCATCCCAGAAAAAAATAAATGCTTCTCTGCAAAGCTAATGGATTTATCCCATATTCCCTAAGATTTTCCCATTAATTTTATCTCTTTCATCCTTATCAACCTCTCTTTCTCCATTGTTCTTTCCCCTCAACATCTTCATGACTGTTCCATATTAAAACAAAAGTCTTCACCAAATTTATATCAGTCCCTAAAATAACCCCTTATTCCCCTTACTATTTGTTGGAAAAACTCACAAAATAATAATTTAAGCTCTCTACTTTTCACATCTTCCATTTATTATTTAACCCCCCAAGTTCTGCTTGATTCCTATTCACATTGACCTTGCTAAGAAGCTTATCTTTCATTTTGTTGCCTCTTTAATGGAGCTGTGAGCATGACATTTAGAGTCAGACTATTCCCACTAATTGCCAACTGTGTGGCCTATATGAGTCTAGTTCTCTCCTCATGTAAAAGAAAGATGATAACAATATATATTTCATAAGGTGGTTGTAAGAATTACATGACAAAATGTGTTATAAAGTGCTTTACAACATAGTGTCTGACAAACAGTAAGGTGATGCAGTAAATGGTGGGTAGTATGGTGTTGATTCATGTGTTACACAGTTGTTATTGTTATAATTACTCTTACTATCTTAACTATACCTTAACTCATAGTTTCCCAAATGAATGCTTTAATGTGTTTGTTAAAATGAAGATTCTTGGGTCTCATCATAAGTGTAACAAATTATAATCTTTTGAGTAGATCCTAGTAATATGTATTTGAGAAGTTCCTTGAGTGATTGTTTTGCATACTGAAGTTGGAGATCCATGGACTTATCCCCATTTGTTAAGGACCTTGGAATCAGATGGGCCTGAGATCAAGTTTATAGATAAAGCCTTGAGTAAATTACTTCTTTATTATTAGGCTGGTGCAAAAGTAATTCAGGTTTTGGCCACTTTTTTTAAGTAATATGGAAAACCACGATCACATTTCCATCAACCTAATAGCTTTAGTTTTCATGTCTACAAGAACAGCTTAGTATCATCAACTATACAGGGTTATCAAGAAGATAAAATTAGATGGTATTTATAAATAAGTAGTATAATGTATTTTATGTAGGCCGTTCACCAAATATTTACCATACTTCCCATTTTTATCTTCAGGCATAAGGTAAAAACAATACTGATGCCCTATAGAAAGCAAATCCTATCACACCAGTTTACCTAACCCTAGGTTGTATCTGTGTAAATCTCCAAAGATATAGCTTTAGTTGCCTTAGTTACTGAGTAGTCTAGTAAGTATGACAGTAAATTAGAAGTCAACGGACCAGGAAAAAACTATAAACATGACAGTAACTTAGAACCAATAGACCAGAAAAAAATTGAATGAAGTTAGCGTGTCAAATGTTATAAAATGCATTTAAGGAGAACATTTTGCCAAGTAGGGTTCACCTAACAATGAATGCTGTTCATGCATGCATTGAAAATCTACAGTGTGATCAGCATTATGCTTCCTAATATGGGAAATTCACAGGAAGTTCCAAATGTGACCTCTACCCCCAACGACATGATATTTAATTGAGTTATAAAAACAAAAAACACATGAAAATTTAGGATACAAATTTAAACCATGTTTTTATTGAATTAAAATATAATCAACACCATGTGTAAGATTGTATTATTAGCTAGAAGAGGTTCAGATGAATGCAAAGTTCCTTAAATATCTTAGAAACAGGTTGTCAAGAATGGTGTCTGCACAGCTAATATAAGAGGTAACCCAGGGAGGAGGAGGAAAGGAATTACAGAGTGGGTTAATATGGAACTAGCCCCTTTCAAATTTCATTATTAGAATTTCTGTAGTAAAGCCCTTTTAAATTATCTCCTACTTTTATTGTTTCATTGTTCTAGGGTGTGTGTATGATTAAATTGTATGATTAAGTACTAAACTAAGAACCTAAATTTGTCTTTCCTATGATGAAAGAGAAAAAGCACTGTGGAAGTCTAGAGGAGTGCTCCATGATGAATTTGGGAGAAGAAAATGAAGACAATTGTGTTTGGGGCAGTCTTCACTGGAAGAAGTGTATAGGTTAGATTTGAAAGGAAGAGACTTTAAAACTAGTTGGCTATTATTACAGTAATAAAGTATGGAATGAGACCTTAAGTCAGGCTTGGATAGCTGAAACAAAGACAGTATTGCCCTCAAGCAAAGGAAACATCAGCAAAGGAACATGGTTAAGAATGTATATGGCATGTCCATGGAATAATGAAAAGCTAGTAGGGCTTCAGTAGCTACCCAAAGTCATGTTAGGCAGAGAGGATGTGGCTGGACCTTGGAGAGACTAAGGAGCCTGGCAAGGGGTGAAGATTTTGTTCTATTGAAGTAGGATTTTGTTCTATTGAAGTTTTTTTAATGGCCAAGAAACAATGGTTAACAAATAGGATCCTATTAATCATATTGATTCATTCAATAACTAGTCACTGGCAATTAACATAGTCAAAGAAAAATGCTAGGCATTGTAGGAAATAAAATTGATTAAGACATAGTACACTGCTCTCAACACCAGTCAAAAATGAGGGCATAAGATAACAAAAATAATTATAATCACAGTGGAATGTAAATTCTAGAAGGTAAATACATGACAATACTATGAAGGAAGTAGGTAGCCTATGAATGGTGGTAATTCATGATATTTAGCTGGGACCTTGAAGGATAGGTGTTATGTAGGTAAAGATAAGAAGAGAGGACTTCTGAGAGGAAAACAGTGCAAGCAAAGACTGTTCACTTCAAAAATATTGAATGCTTACTGTGTGCCAGGTCCTGGACTTTATACTGGGGTATAAAGACTTATCACTGTCTCTTCCCTTAAGAGCTTAACACAGAAAAGCAGAGTGCGAGTTCTCAGTGATACTTGGATAGTTCCATTCAGCTAGAGCGTGTATATAAGAGGAGGTAATGGAATGAAGCTGGAAAGACAAATTGAACCAATATTAATGAGAGTCTTAAATGCCAGGACAATATATACTCAGTTCTCCTGGGTATGGAAATAACTGAAGTCTGTTGTTAACAGTTTTTATCAGAAGGCAATGAAGACAATTGTGTTTGGGGCAGTCTTTGCTGGAAGAAATGTATAGGATAGATTTGAAAGGAAGAGACTTTTAAACTAGGTGGCTATAATTACAGTAATAAAGTATGGAATGATAATAGCCTGGGATAGCTGGTGACACCAGAGTAATTGTAAAAGCTCATGTGTGTCAAGAATATGTTAATGCTTTAATCATTTGCTAAGGAGTTATGCAAATCATCTTGCTTACTCCTCATAATATCTCTTCAAGAAGGGTGCTGTAATTATACCCCATTGACAGAGGAGTAAACTGAGCACAAAGACATTTTAAAAACTTTCCCATGTTTTACAACTAGTAAATGATGAAACTAGATTCAAGCATAGGCAGCCTCCAGAAACTGCTTTTTACCTACTGACTATAGTGTCAAAAACAGCTATAAATTTTGAACTCATATGTCTAAATAAAAAAATAGCTCAATTAACAAATACAAAGAAGTTTAAACACTTTTTTCACTTAAAAACTTTATCAGCTAAAAAAAATATACCATTCTTTTTCCAAATTTCCCTCACTGAAAGGTTTAGTGGTTTTCAAATTCAATAATAGAATTTTAACAGCAGAATGTATCTCAGAGAATAACTCAAACCTCACAACTTTACAGAAGAGGGCATTGAGACCAAGACTAAGGGAATGCCCAAAGTAAAAGAGCTAGCTAGGGGTTGAACTCACATTAAAATCCATACCTCCTGTTTTCTTGTCACTATAGTATAGCACTCTGATTTTATCATATCATATTTCTATTATGTTTTTCATAGTGAGCATGGAAGATCACAATACTGAGTCACAAAGGGAGAGATTTTTACTTATAAATTACAGAAAGATGTGTGAATGGTTACATATTTACTCACTAAAAAATCACAACAGTTAGTATATTAACAATTATGCCCATTATCCATTTTAGCAGTTTTGACACATGAATTCATCTTCCACAGTGGATTTTCGGATAATGATGTCAAATTGTTCTGCTTCCATATTATAACAAATCCTTTGTGAGAAGATAGATCTGTGTACTACTTGTTACCTCGCAGTGATGAATCAGTATCAGCGAGTTTTTTAGAGGGAGGAGAAGAGTCCACCAGAGGGTGTCATGCATTGTTGTCTTACATGTACATCTTTCCAGGAGAATTTCAACCTATCTTCTTTGATCACTACCAGGTGGTTTCCCCTTGCAGCTCCACAGTCCATCACTGGTAATAAAAGCATAACCAGACCAATTTGCTCTCATTTATTTTATGAATCATTGCCAGACTCAGAAATAAAGAACAAAAGGAAGTGTATCCTTTTTTGTGTCTTTTGAAATTGAATGAAATATCAATGAAATATCTTCATAACATTATGTAAGACAATGTCCTACATTGATGTGGGGCCAAAATAGCTTAAAGAACCTATGGCTTCAAAGCTAATGGAATGTGCCAAGAGGACCACAATATGAAAAGAATGAACATACTGAAAGTCTCAGAAAGCAATGGGTTTTCTGTCAGGAACAAGAGAAATCCAAATAATTGGGAATATTTTGTCACTTATTTCCCCGTAATCCTACCTAGCCACAAGATAAAACAAAAATAAAAAGAATTCAGAAGTAAGAATAAAAATACATCAGCTAGTGAGGTTGGAAAGTGAAGCTTGATTCATTTCGAATTCATTGTCCTAATGGATGAGCAAGTGATTGAAAATGAATGCATGAATAGCAGTTAACATCACTGGTAACAGGGAGACAGAGAAAGACAGAAGAAACATGGAAGTGGGGTAGAATAAAGAAAATAAGGAAAGCAAATAAAAAAGTTTTTAAAGCGAAAGAAGGGGTAAAGAAAATGAAAGAAATTAAGCTGACAGGAAGAAACATATGAAATGCAGCTGTGATGCTCATTTGTTCTTCTTTTAAAATGTAAATTACTTCTGATTTTGAAGTCAAGGTCTGGATATTTTCCTGTGGAAATATAGCCATATACCCTCTAAATAGTCTCTCTTCCCCAAAAGAGAGAAAATTGGGAAAGATAACGTAGTTTTACTGTAAGCAATACAAAAAAATAGTTCTAAAAACCTCAAGGCATTTCAGTGTAAGTTGTCTGCAACAGACAACAGCCTCAAAACCCTCCAAATTTCCTAGCGTGAGACAGGCACCAAGCGGGAGACTTGGTTGCCTGGCAACCGCGCTCTTCACAGGCAGCTGGAGTAAAAGGAACCGTCTGGTGCCAAACGGCCTTTCACCTGCTTCGTTAAAGGGAAATCAGAGAGAAAGAGTTACCTTGCAAAGGCCAAAGCTCCCCATGAGAAACAGAGGCTTGAGAAACCCTCCTCTAGCTTCACTTTGGAAAGGCACTCCAAGCAGGGTGGGAGGTTTCTAATGCCTCAGGAATTAAGGATGCTTTTTCCTCCCCTCCCCCTGCTCTGGGTGCCACCCTGAAAATAACAGGCTGCAGGCTTGGTATTCTGACGTTGTATAGAGGGGAAAAGAAATCACTTTAAATCTTTTGCTCCATATTGATAAATTCTGAAGACTAGGGACATTGCTTACATCTCCCCATTATTTTTAAATTAGGTTTGCTTTCTGATAATACAAGGACTAATAAAGTGTTTTCATGAGGAAAAGAGAATTTGAAAAGGAATGACTATGAAAATAGTCTGTTTTTACATAAGTATCTGGGGATTGAAGTTATTCTGGAAATTTTACCTGGCTATTTTAGTGGAAATGTAAACAGTACCTAGAAGGGATTTCGTATAAAAAATGGTGAGGGTTGTCCAAAAGAATTTGTACAGCCCACTCCTAAAATGCAAAGTATTGCAATATACATCTTTGTGTAAATTTTAGCCTTTGCTAGAAAATACACAGTTTTTAAATGGATCCTTAATGAGTAATTCCCAATTAGTCTGGCTCTTTCAAGGTCAAACAGTAAAATGTGCATGGAAATTGGGCAGATAGCTGCATAGTAGTCAGAAACAAAGCACTGAAGTCAGCATTTACAGTGGCAGATTCCGGTCCTTGCACTGTCACTCAGCACAGCATTAATTTTGAGTTCTAATTTGGGTGACATAGATCTAACATATTTAGTGTTCTTTTGGAACTTTCCTTCAGATAAGATTCTAAATATAAAACAAAAAATGTGTCATGTTCAAACTTTTCAGGTTATACAAATTATATAAATTTATTTCAGTTTTATTCACTACCAGTAAGTACAATTATTTTTACTCCTTTCTATAGGACTTTGTTGACCTCATTCTTTTATTCTGTTGTATTTTACTGAAATATGAATAATGGATATACATATACAAATATACACACACATATTTTATCCATCGCCCTACTCCACCTCCAAAGTTGAAGAGTAAATATGTTTTTCATTCTCCACATGACTTCTCCAAGGGAGTCTTCTATTATTGTTAGTAACTATACAATTGTCCAGTGTTTCCACAATAAGCTATTATTGAATGGGATTTTTTGGGAAGTCTTCATTTACAAAATTATACTGGAAGATAATTTATTTTCTTTTACGTTAAAAGCCTGGCACCATAACTCCTTTAGGGAAAAGAAATTTAAGATAGAAGGTGAGCCCCTGAGGCTATGGGTTAGCCCACAGGTTCTTAATCTGGTCTACACATTAGAATTACCTAGGGAGCTTTCTGAAAGCACTGATTTCTGCCCCCCTTCCTCCACCAAGGCTGTGATCTTGATTCCACATCTGGGTCAATTCTGTGTGAAACAGCATCAGTATGTGCACATCAGCTTCTAAGTTAATACTGGTTGAAAAGTTTTAAAGTTGTCTTATTTTCTGGGAGATGGACTTTAGGAGACTAGCTACAGCGCTGCAGAAAAAATGAGCAGCATTTAATGTTATGTGTGCCTAGTGGCTTTTCCCAACACCCGTGTCTCTCTCTATTCCTGTGCTCAAGCAGCCTTCCATTCTAATGCTACATCTTAATATTTAATGTGCTAAAAAAGTTAAAGAAGTGATTAATGTTAATAAAAAATATTCTAAATTATGTGGAAATACAAGTAGTAAAGCAAATGTTAGCTCTTACCGTTAGCCCACAGCCAAGTTACGTTTTGGTAACTAGAGGAAGAGGGTAATGTTTTGGCTATATTAGCTATAGTACACAGAGAGTTGATTAAAAAAAAACAGAGTCATTTTTGCCTTAAAACCATATACATATTTTCTTAATGTGTAGTATTATTTTCTGATGGTTTTTTTTTTTTTTTTTTGAGACAGAGTCTCGCTCTGTTACCCAGGCTGGAGAGCAGTGGTGCGATCTCAGCTCACTGCAACCTCCGCCTCCCGGGTTCAAGCGATTCTCTTGCCTCAGCCTCCCAAGTAGCTGGGATTACAGGCACGTGCCACCACACCCGGCTAATTTTTTGTATTTTTAGTAGAGACAGGGTTTCGCCATGTTGGCCAGGCTGGTCTCAAACTCCTGATCTCAGGTGATCCACCCCCCTCAGCCTCCCAAAGTGCTGGGATTACAGGCGTGAGTCACCGCGCCCAGCCT
Source organism: Homo sapiens (assembly GCF_000001405.40). Taxonomy (NCBI): domain Eukaryota; kingdom Metazoa; phylum Chordata; class Mammalia; order Primates; family Hominidae; genus Homo; species Homo sapiens. The sequence goes on from NC_000006.12 coordinate 96,394,273, forward strand.
CTGATGGAATTTTTAGTATGTGTGTAATATTATATCATCCTATGAAAGAAATAAAATTTTTCTACCTGTAATGTTACTAATGAAAATTGGTAATTTGTATAAAAGGATTTGAATATATCTTTAGTCATATACCACCACATACCATTTGCAATCATATGTAAATTTAATCATTCTGTGCCTAAGAATAGAATAAACTCTAGACCATTCTCAGATGTACTCGCCTGGATTACTGCTTCAAGTTGATTAAAAAGTTGGTGCTATTGCTACCTAGTTAAGAGACTGAGAGATACATTATCTTTTCATTTACTGACAATTCCATTTATTGGTCTCAAACTGTCCCTATGACCTTGTAACTGATCTTGTAACTATTAGGGTTACTGTTACAAAGAAGAGAAATCAGGTTCCTGGTTTAAAAGAAAAGAAATCAATTCTGGTTAATTTAAGCAGAAATGAGTTTTACTATAGGGATGTAGGACTACTCAAAGTTGTTCAGGAAAATTGGAGGTCAGGCTTCCCAAACAGGCAGGAACCAAGCAAAGACAGGCAGAAAAGGATCAGAGCCTCAAGTGAGGTTACTTTGCAAGATCAATCTGGTCATAGCAGCCATTAATTCCACTGACCACAGCACTGTAAGACACCACTGCCACTGTGCATTACTGCAGAAACCACTAGATGTCATTGCATTCACTGTTGTCCACTACAACCTGGACTAAATTTGAAATTGTCGCTTTAGCTTTATATTCATAACCCAAATTAACATCTCTTGCAGAAGCATTCGATCTGCTGAGCCAATATCACCTGCCCATACACCTCGAATGCCATGGCCTGGAGGAAGGAAAGTTCATCCTCTTTTGGCTTGTATACTAGGAGCTGGGGTTCTGGATTCCAACAAGATTCTAGGAGTGGAGTATTTCTTAAAATACAAAAGGAGTTTGGAAGATTGACAGCCATAAAAAAGGCATATTTCTACCACTCCCCACCTCTATCTGGCAATACACATGTGAAAAGAGTGATAACTCTATTCATTAGTGGAGTTTGCAGAGGGGGTATACATTCTATTGATAATGAATTTGTAGAATCAACTTCAAATATGAACCACACACAAAGTTATCATTAATTAATTTGGAATAATGGACTGAGGGATCAGGTAAAATTTCTGTTTTGTCATTTTGATAACTGTGACCAAGACAGGTCATGAAAACATATACTAAGAGCCTTACACATAAGCAATGAATTACAGTTGCCAACATAGTTTGACTTGATGGGTAAAAGATTTGATGACTACAAATTTGACATTATTTCTAATGAATAGCAACAGATTTACAACATATCAATATTTATGGGATGTAAGTAAAGCAGGAGTTAGATGGAGTTTTATAATTTCAAATTGTAATACTAGAAAATAAGAATAATTTAAAACCATAAACTTGTTTCCATTTCAGGAATCCCATAAAAGAGCTAATTAGTAGAGCAAAGAAAATTTAAAAAGTAAGAGGTGAGGACTATAAAATAGAAAGCAAACAATGTGGATAATTTTAAAGGCCCCAAAACTGGTTTGTAGAAAATATTCATTAATATAATTCATCATATTAACTGAACATAAAATGGGACAAAATCATCTCGTAGATGCAGAAATTATTTTACAAAAGTCAACAACCTTCATAATTCTTTTTTTTAAGAGACTTTTATTAAGAGGCCTTGCTCCTTTTTCCAGGCTACAGTGTAGTGGCCAATCACAGCTGACTGCATCCTCAAATTACAGGCTCAAGGGATCCTCATCCTCCTGAGTAGCTAGGGACCAAAGACAGCCACCACCATGCTTGACCAAATTCTTGTTGTTTTCTTTGTAGACATAGAGTCTCACTATCTTGTCTAGGCTGGTCTCAAACTTCTGGCCTCAAGCTATCCTTCCACTTTGGTCTCTCAAAGTACTGGGATTATAGGCATGAGCCACCATGCCAGGCCCATTCATAAGTTTTAAAAAGTATTCACTAAGTTAGTAATTGATGAGACAAACAAATCATAAAGAAAAATATTTATTAAACATATGAAAAAGTGCTCAACATCACTAGTTGTTAGGAAAATTCAAGTGAAAACCACAGTGAGCTACCACTACACATTCGCTAAAATGGCTAAAATTAAAAAGACTAGCCATACCAAATGTTAGTGAGGATGTAGAGGAATTGGAACTCTTATAATGTTGTGATGGGAATGTTGTGATATAGCCACTATGGAAAACAGTTTGGCAGTTCTATATAAAGTTAACACACACTTACCATATTACCCAGCAATTCTACTCCTAGGTATTTACCCAGAGATAAATGAAAATATTTGTTCACACAAAGACTTTTACACAAATGTTCACAGCAGCTTTATGCACAATAGCCTAACATTGGAAACAACCTAATCAACCATCATTAAGACAAGGAATAAATAAACTGACATTTCATACAATGGAATACTGCTAAGTCATTAAAAGGCACAAATTACTGATACATGCAACAACATATGAATCTCAAACATACTCATGAAAGAGACAGAGGAAAAAAACATGGTGTGTGTGTGTGTGTGTGTGTGTCACATGATTCCAGTTACATAAAGTTCTTAAATAGGCAAAACAAATGTAAGGTGAAAAAAATCAGAAGAGTAGTTTCCTTAGGGTTTTGAAGAGTTTTCTTATTTCTAAGAAGGGAAATTAGAAAACTTTCTGGTAAAGGATACATTCTCTAACTTGTTAGGGAAGAGCTACATGGGTATGTGCATTTTTCAGATCTCATTGAATTGTATCCTTATGATCTGTACATTTTAACTTATGTGCATTTTATCTCAAAAATAAAACTTTAACAAATATTAAATTCTAGTTATTAGGTATGTTTTTGTAGCTTATCAATTCTGAAACTTCCTTTTGTGTGGTCTAGCTTGACAAAATGAACAAATATATTGAAGGTAATTGTAGTGAGGTTTGTCATTTATAAACACATACATATATATTTTCAAGTCCTATTCACTGACAGGGCATAGAAGCAATGATACACCAGCAGCAATTGCCTGCCTACTCCCCAGATCTTGGTCTCTAAAGACTATTTTCCAGTAAAGGGAACCAGAACTCCTAAGATAAAAATAGTCGATACTAATGCTGGGCCAGGGGAAATCCAAGGTAAACTTGGAAACTCTTCTTGTGACAGAAAGCAAGGAAGTAAGGAATAAGGGGACATTTAAAATAAATATCTGAGTCACCTTAAAAAGACTTCCACTGGCCAAATCTGGGACAATTCAACCACGCAAATAAATATTGATTGTAATAGATTATTACCTTGTGATATTCACCGGATTATTACCTGATGAATAAAATTCTGGATTTTGACCTGGGCAAAGAATTTAAAGCTAAGACCTTAAAAGCAACTGCAATAAAAAAAAACATTGACAATTAGGACTTAATTAAAGTAAAGATATCTGCCCAGCAAAAGAAACTATCAACAGAGTAAACAGATAACCTACAGAATGGTAGAAAATATTTGCACACTATGCCTCTGAGAAAGGACTAATATCCAGAATCCACAAGAGACTAAAACAAATCAACAAGAAAAAAGACAACCTCATTAAAAAGTGCACAGAGGACATGAACAGACACTACTCAAAAAATACAAAAAATTAGCCAGGCATGGTGGCAGGCACCTGTAGTCCCAGCTACTCGGGAGGCTGAGGCAGGAGAATGGCGTGAACCCCGGAGGCGGAGCTTGCTTGCAGTGAGCAGAGATCACGCCACCACACTCCAGCCCGGGTAACAGAGCGAGACTCCATCTCAAAAAAAAAAAAAAAAAAAAAAAAAGAACACATAAATAGGCAAACAGAAAAAATGCTCAACCTCACTAATCATCAGAGAAATGCAAATTAAAATCACAGTGATGTGCCATTTCACACCAGTCAGAATGACTATTATAAAAAAAAGTCAAAAACATAACAGATGCAAATGAGAATGTGGAGAAAAAGGAATGCTCATACACAATTGGTAGAAATGTAAACTAGTTTAGCCTCTACGGAAAGCAGAATGGAGATTTCTCAGAGAACTAAAAATAGAACTGCTATTCAAACCCAGCAATCCCACTACTCAGTATATATCCATGGGAAAGGAAATCCTTCTACCAAAAACACACCTGAACTAGTATGTCACAACGCTATTTGCAATAACATAGACATGGAATCAACCTAGGTTCCCATCACTAGTGGACTAGATAAAGGAAATGTGGTACATCAACACCATGGAATACTATGCAGTCATTAAAAAGAATGAAATGATGTCCTTTGCAGCAACATGGATGCAGCTGGAAGCTGTTATTCTAAGTGAATTAACACAGAAACAGAAAATCAATTGTCACATGTTTTTACTTATAAATGGTAGCTAAATGATGGGTACAAACGGACATGAAAATGGAAACAATAGACAATGGAGACTCCAAAATGGGAAAGGAAAGGGTCAAGGGTTGAAAAACTAACTATTGGGTACTATCTTCATTATTTTGGTGATACGTTCAGTAGAAGCCTAAACCCCAGCCTTACACAATATATCCATCTAACAAACCAGCACATGTCCCCCCAACAAATCTATTTTTTTTTTAAAAAAAAAAAGCATACTTACGTTTACCTTTTATTGCTGAATTTCTGTTCTTGGCTTCTTAGAGGTTAATAGATTTTTAACAAATGTTCCAGTAACATAATACAGTTTCACTTTGAAAGGTGTTTTTTTCTCAAATGCTTCCATTGACTGAAAAAAAACAGTTAATGATGAATCTTATAAGAAACAAGCTTACATTTACCTATATCATTGTATCTCTCTATTGGCCTATTAGTGCCCAATGAAGGAAAAAAACATTCTTTAAAAAGAAAAAGAATCCATAACTCTATGTTGACATAAAGAAATAGATGAATATATAAATAAATGGGAGAAGGGGAGTGCACTCCTTAAGGTGGAATGCAAATGATAAGAAAAATGAACAAAAAATGATGGAGTTAGAAATCAATGTGTGGATATCACATTTAGTAGATAAAAGTTTAATGAAGAGGATATTTATGTAGCCTCAAAGTATCTCTCCACAAGTACCTAATAATTAGGAAGGGAAAATAATGGTTCTACCACCATGGAGAAACCTCATGGACACCACTTCATTAGTTTTGAGTGATCAAAACTAATAATATTAGTGCAGTCTGAATCATGTGCACTCCAGTATGGGCCACTGAGAAGGATAAAATATCACTTCAGTGGAATTGCTGACAAAAATCCATAACCTGAAACTAACAATGATGAAACAGCAGATCAATTGAGGGACATTCTATGAAATAACTGATCTATACTCTCAGAAATTTAAAGCCAAAAGACTAAGTATGACTGAGGATCTGTTCTGAGTTAAAGGATACCAAAGAGACTTGAAAAATAAATGCAATCTATGCTCTTGGTTTTGATTTTGAATGGGGACAAAACAAGGAAATGTCCTAATTTTGATAATTATACTGTCAATACATAAGATAATTAACAGGTTATTAGGAAACACACAGTAAATTATTTAGGAGTAAAAATTCATGATGTCTCCAATTTACTTTCAAATGATTAAGAAAAAATAATTTGCAAGTACATAGAGAAAAAGTGTGAAAAATGTAAACAATTGGTGAGTCTGAATATAGGTTACATGGGTATTCCTAGTTCCTTGGGCTATTCTTGAACCTTTTCTGTAACTTTGAAAGTATATCAAAATAGGCCAGGCATGGTGGCTCATGCCTGTAATTCCAGCACTTTGGGAGCCCAAGGCGGGCAGATCACGAGGTTAGGAGATTGAGACCAGCCTGACCAACATGGTGAAAGCCTGTCTCTACTAAAAATACAACAACAAAAAAAGAAAATTAGCCGGGCATGGTGGCGCATGCCTGTAATCCCAGCTACTCAGGAGGCTGAGGCAGGAGAATCGCTTGAATCCGGGAGGTGGAGGTTGCAGTGATTCGAGATCGCACCACTGCACTCCAGCCTGGGGGACAGCGCCAGGCTCCATCTCAAAAAAAAAAAAAAAAAGTTACAAATACATAAATAAAAGTCAGATCCCCATCCCACCAACACCCAAAAAAAAAGCCATACACAGGGGATTAGTGAGTAAAAAAAGAATAGTACTGGATTATAATATTTTTGGCTCCATGATCTTTCGGGGACTGTTTCTAAACATAGCATGGAAAAAAGCTCCTCTTTACCTGACTAGGAAAAGTCCCGAAGGTAATACATGCCTTCATCTCACAGCATGTGATAACCTGGTTCTATCTTGTTTGATTGCAAGAATAAGGGTAGGGAAGCAAGAATAGGACTGATTATTCTTTTGCCTTAGGGGAAAAATATTTTATTGTTGGTGAAATATCTTGATTCATTTTTTATGAATGATAAAGAAAATTTTTCTAAGGTGGCTGTATATTTGTAAGCCTAGAGCTATTCTGAAGACTCAAAATGCATGCAACATTTTGAGCACTGTCTTTTATTAAGTGCATGGGGTTTAAGCATTCTGTTTAAGGAGATCAAGATTCTTTTTGTTTGAGAAGAAAAGGGACTGAGTTTGCTGGGTGTGGGATCCCAGGACACTTGCATCCTTTCCCTCGCCAGGGTATTTTGTCTTCTATTTATATATTGTGGTTCATAGCCTTTATGTGATGTTACATAATTTTCTTTAGCCACTAATAAATCCTAATTAAAATTCAACCCTTAAAGGCAGTATTTAAAATAAAGTCACATTGGGAATGAAATGTATCTTTCAGATATGCTCTCAGTAACTGAAAAAATTCTAACAGTAAATTATCCGTTCTTCTTCAGATTTGTTATACTTGCAAGAAGTAATACTTTCTGTCATTCACAGGATAGAAAATGTCTAATATATAAACTTATTGTAGCAAGACACATACATTGTCATGCCATTAGCTCAGGCTAGTGCCTGGTGGGATGAAAGACACTCTCATTCAAAGTCTATTTTTTTATTGTTGATTGAAGATTTTTAAAGCAAAGCAGTTAATTCTCATTACATTAAAAATTTGTTTTTATTAGACAACTTATAATTATCTTTTATCTCTCTGATCTCAGATTCCTCATTTAAAATGGAAATTGTGAATGTTAAATGAACTAATATGCATAAAGTCCTTAGCACAGTGTCTGGCACATAAGTGCTCAATAGATGATATTCATAAATATAGATTATTTTATATTATAAATGTTCAAGTTAAAAATACCATATTGAACACGTTTATCCACTCAGAGATTAAGAAATAATATATCTCAGAAAACGAGACAATAGTGCAGCAAAAACATGTTGACAGATACAACTCCAGGCTAGTGGCATGCAGAGAAGGATGCTAACAAAAAATGAGCAGGCTTCCACTACCAGCCCCTATAGAACCCTAGCCAAGCCCATGGCTTAGCAGCATTTGATGCACAGAAGGGCAGAAAACTAGAGAAGAAAACAGGTGTGAGTGTGTATTGGAACGGGGTGAGTAGAGGAAGAAGATGCATGACAGATTGAAATTCAACATCATTGGTATATGAAGCATGATATGGTTTGGCTCACTGTCCCCATCAAAATCTCATCAAATTGTAATTCCTGGTGTTGGAGGAAGGGTCTGGTGGAAGGTGATTGAATCATAGGAGCAGACATCTCCCTTGCTGTTCTTGTGATAGAATTCTCATGAGATATGGTTGTTTGAAAGTGTGTAGCACCTCCCCCTTCTCTCTCTCTCTCCTGCTGGCCATGTGAAGATGTGCTTACTTCCCCTTTGTCCTTCTGGCATGATTGTAAGTTTCCTGAGGGCTCCCCAGAAGCAGAGCCTGTACAGTGCACAGAACCATGAGCTGATTAAAGCTCCTTTCTTTATAAATTACCCAACCTCAGGTATGTCTTTACAGAAGTGTGAGAATGGACTAAAACAAGGCACACAGTAGAGTAAGAATGAAGCACACAATTGAAAATGAGAGTAATTATTGAGCTACTCTGCAAAACAGACTGATCCCAATACCTCTACCCCACCCTGCACAAATTACTAAAAGCCAGTGGTAGAAGACTGTAGAATCTATTTTTTCTGAAAAAATTAAACAATGCCTCCCTATACTGACATTTGGAGCCTGTGTGATCAGCCATTATTCAGACCAATTTTACAAGAGTAAGGAGTACTATTTGCAAGTACTGGCAATCACAGAACTTCCAGTCAAAATGTGAGCGCTTCAGTGTTAAATGAGAAAGGGAGAAGTCAGTAAGCAAACCAAGAAAATAAATCCAGAGGAAAGATAATGCAGGAAATGCAAGAGCATTTCAAAATTAAAACCAAAATGCAAATGAACACATCAGGGAGATGGAAGTTTTTGCATCAATAAAAATGGATGATATTTATAAGGAAGAATTCTTAGTAGTTAAAATAACATAGTTGAAACAAAGATCTCTACAGAAGCTTGGAAGTAAACAAAATGTCAAGAAGATAAAAAATGTGAGATAAAAGCTAAGGACTGAGAGCATAAAACCAAGTGCTCAAATAACTAATTAATCTGAATTCTATAAAGAGAATAGAAGGGAAGTCATGGAGATAAAGATATCTTTTAAAAAGAGACTTTTTCAGAACTAGAGTACACATTTCCAAATTGAAAGAACTCAAAACGTACCAGCACATTTAATTTTTTAAATATCCAAAACAAAGCATATTGTCATGACATTTCAGAGCACTATGTTAAAGAGACAAACCCAAACAATTAAGGAAGAAGGAGAGAGGTGTCACATCCAAAGAAGGAAAATCAGAACAATACTGGGCTTTTCATCAACAGCACTGGCTGATTCAGGAGAAAATGATTTTTAACCCAGAATTTTCTCATTTACAAATGAGAATGCAATAAAGATACTTTTAGATATGCAAAGAGTCACAAAATTTTTCTCCCTTTCTTAGCTGCTAGGAAGGTGTACAGAATAGAAAAAACATTCCATACAGGCCTTAGTGCCAGAATCTTGCAAATCAACTGTTTTCTTACAACTTAAATAATAGGAAGCTGATTTGAGTAATAATAAAAGTCCAATCTCCTGCACAGCTAGCCCTGCATGAATTACTCTTTCTCTACTGAAATTCCCCTGTCTTGATAAATAGGCTCTGTCTAGGCAGCGGTCAAGGTGAACCCACTGGGCAGTTACAGATTCGGAGGCTTGTCCAGGATTGCCCTTGTGGCTACCTACCTGTGATGTGGTAGCCTCTCTCTGGTGATGTATCCAGAGGCCAGCTCAAGTGGCTGCCTAGTTCTCTTGGACTGGGAGATAATTCTGGTACTCTCTCTACTGGTGGGGCACTGCTGACCCAATGTGGATGGATTTAATTGCAATAGAAAAGTATTCCTGGGGAGACATCCCTTAACTGTAGGCCTATCACATTATATCTGTCTGTAGTCCCATTGCAGGGTGTCTGGGTTGGTGAGCATTCTAGGTGCTATCAATGTCTCCTTTCTTCTCCTGACTTGTTCTGTAGACCCATGGTGGGGTGTCTGTTTGTAGCTCCACCATGGTGTTTCTGTCTCAGTTTGGCTCCTTTGTTGGGTCCAACTTGGATCTCCCTAAGTAATAGGAAGACTCTTGCTTTGGGAGACTTCTCTTCAATCAGGAAGATTTTAGGGAGATTTATTAGATGAACAATAGGAGTATAGTTTGGAAGGGATTCTCTTGGAATTCTTAGTTAGGGATCTTGATTCAGAAGGCCTTCTGTACATCTCATCTTTGTGTGTGTTTGTATATGCGGGGGGGATATAAGAAGGAATTGCTGACAAAAGTCCAGCACCCCTAACTCAGAGACCCTCCTTACTTGTATGGTTACATTCAGTGAGCCCTGAAGAAAGCTCAACATGCCAAGGAAGTTCTTGGGATGACTATCTGATCTTCGCCTTGGCCAGAGACCATCCATTGTGAATTACTGTTTGGAGGCCATCCCTACCCACATGGAGTGGATCAAAGACAACAGGGATTAATGGGAGAAAGTCCAAGCTTTGTGAAGTTGAATACTGGGTGCTGAACAAAGTGACTAGTGTCTGTTTTGTTATGTGTATTTTGCTTGGATGGAAAATGTTAATTTGGTTCCCCATGCAGCCCTTTGGGCAGCATCTTGCAAAATTAAGAATCTCTTGCCTATGGTTCCATGAAACAGAAAAGGATAATTTTCTTTTGTAATGTGGCTTGACCCCCATAGCTCTGGCACAGCAAGCAGGGTCATCTGTTCTTCTGGGAGCTGCAGAGAAAGGGAACCTGGAAATCTGGAATGCCAGCAAAAAGGGTAAGAAATTCTTACCACCCAAGTTTCTGGTCTCTCTCTCTCTCTCTCTCTCTCTCTCTCTCTCTCTCTCTTTCTCTGTCTCTCTCTCTGTGTGTGTGTGTGTGTGTGTGTGTGTGTGCGTGTGTAAATGGTAAATGTCACTGTTCGTCTCCTCCGCAAGGATATGATTAATAGAAAACAAAATTTGTGAGACTAGTTTTAGGCTGTAGCAAATCTAGTGCACTTTGTGCTAAAAATTTGTCTTTCTGTAATGGAGAGAGGGTTATCCCAGGATAGAATGAGGGTTTAGGACCTCTATAAGCCTGCTTTTCAAGCCAGCCCAGCAAACTGGTCAGTTACAAACTTTGCTGCAGGTCCCTGAAACCAATACCAAATGAAATTTTTCTGTCTTGTTTTGTGTCCTTAAGAGCTTAACCTTGTAACCATGTAGGGATACTATCTCTTGATTTCTCCCATCCAGAGGACAGGAATTTTAGGACACATGTCACAATTAACCCTAAAAATTATCTTGAGCACTTAAGAGTCTTTGCAAGCTTGAAATTGGCTGCTCTTCTGGGAATAGCAATAGAAACTGCTCAATGCTGTCTAGCTCAGTAGCTAAGGCTTTGTCTTTTGACAATGGTAGGCTGGGTTAAAGTCCTAGCTTCCAGAATAATTCCTTTCTGGTTTGTTATGTTGCTGCAGGTCCCTGAAACCAATACCAAATGAAATTTTTCTGTCTTGTTTTGTGTCCTTAAGAGCTTAACCTTGTAACCATGTAGGGATACTATCTCTTGATTTCTCCCATCCAGAGGACAGGAATTTTAGGACACATGTCACAATTAACCCTAAAAATTATCTTGAGCACTTAAGAGTCTTTGCAAGCTTGAAATTGGCTGCTCTTCTGGGAATAGCAATAGAAACTGCTCAATGCTGTCTAGCTCAGTAGCTAAACAGCTCAGTAGCCTCTGGTTGTTTATGTAACTTTGCCATTTATTGAGTGTTCCCCTCGCCCACCCCCGCCATTAATAGCTTCTGATTTCCTGTCTTGGGTTTTCCTCCCTCTGAACTACCTTTGGGGATATTCTAATTTTTGTAAAGAAAAAAAAACTGCTTACCATCTATTTGAGACAGTTTATGCATCCAGCGTTAAGTCATAGCCTTTGTTAAAACCTACTCATTTCGCATGGGAGGTTATCTGTGGTAAAGTTAAAAAGCCAGAAATATTGACTCTCTGTCCTAACTAGAGTCTGGTAATAAGAGATTTAAAAGGATTTTTTTTTTTAAAAAGCTTGTATTAGTTTATTCTCACACTGCTAAAAAGATATACCTGATACTGGATAATTTATGGGTTAAAAAAGGTTTAATTGACTCACAGTTCCACATGGCTGGGGAGGCCTCACAATCATGGCAGATGGCAAAAGAGGAGCAAGGTCACGTCTTACATGGCAGCAGGCAAGAGAGCATGTGTAGGGAACTCTTCTTTTATAAAACCATCAGATCTCATAAGACTTATTCACTATCATGAGAACAGCATGGGAAAGACCCACCTCCATGATTCAATTACCTCCCACCACAGCCCTCCCATGACACATGGGAATTATGGGAGCTACAATTCAAGATGAGATTTGGGTGGGTACATAGCAAAACCATATCAGAACTCTATGGTTAAAATCAGCTTAATTAAAAACAGATATCCAAGCTACATGTATTTAAGAGGGCTTTATCTTTTTTTATCTTCTTGAATCGTGTTTTCCTGAAAAAAATTTTCTTCTCAGTGGACTGAATTGTTTTTCTCCATTTTGTCATCTTGCCACTCTTGATGTAAACATGAGAGAACCTATGATAAATTCTAACAGCTTGGGGACTTCTGGCCAAAAGCAGAGGAGTCTACACAGACCCCATTCTGGGGAAAAACAACAACAACTACAAAACCTGTTTTCTTCATGGAACCCCAGGAATTAGAAACAAAAATAGGTCCCTCTCAAAATCTAAGGCTCTGTTCTGTTTTGCACTGCATTATCTGATTTTTTTTTTTTACTTTGGGGAGTATCAAAAATTACTTTGCATTATGGGAGAGCTTTAGCCTTGGTGTGTAATAGCTAGGTAAAAAAAACATATACTCTAAAAAATGGCTAGTGTCAGTTATAAAGAGATACTTGGATCTTTGCATGCTTGGATCAGAGAAGCATGCTCTTGACCACCTGGAAGATACAGAAACATCCCCAAACCCCACTGAGAGATGAGACTCCCATGGGGGATGGGCTGATTACAAAATGGGCTGATTGTCTTTGGGTTGCCTCGCAATTAAATGTATGATAGAAGCATTGCACTATCTTCTCCCATAGTATTTCCCTTCTTTGGGGGGATCCAGGATTCAGTATAAAATGGCACACTTAATTTTGGGGATCTGTCTTTGCCTTCCAGGTGTACCTGCTTATTAGGCCCTAGAAACTGCATATATTCCTGGCCCTGCTCCTCCAAGGGCTCCACCCTGAAACTAGTAATCCAATTAAGAAACTGGCAAATAAAAAATCTTACAAGTGCTGAATCTTCTGTCTGTCTGTCTATGTATTTATATATGTTGTATGTGTGATGTTTATATTTTAAAAGCTCTGATTAATTGGCTTAGAAAAATAAACATTTAAATCAAATATTTTGTCTGACTAATAGAAACTTTAATGCCTTTTTTCACATGACTTTAATAATCTTTTGGAAATAAAGACAGTTTTAAAGATCATTGGTAAAATAAAAATGTCTTCAAAATGTAGACATTCGGTCTAAATTTAAGGTTAGATATCAGATGTTCTAAATGCTTCAAGGTCATAAATTGCTTCTTTGACTTTTGAAAATTGTTCAATGTATCTACCTTGGAGCATGCATTAGATTATAGATAAGGCCTGGGGACATATGGAGAGCCATGCCCCCTAGCCATGCTACAAAAAATCAGACACTTCTGTCTGATGTCCTAGGCTCCACACCTAATACATAATTAAAATCACTTACTTATCAGGTTTTTCATCAAAAATAAAGGATGCTAAGAGTAAACATTCTAACATGTAATTGAGACTACTGGAGAAACCATTTTATGTATAAGGTTGCAAGGTACAGAAGGAAAGCAGAATGTAATCTTGGTGGGAGATTATAAGAAGGTATGGGAATATGGTTTTTGTTAAAGATAATGTAATTTTGTCTAGTTCAGAGAGTTTTTATAGATTCTCTTAACCTAAAAGAATAATGGGACAAAACTGAAGGTTGAAGCAAGTTGAAAAGGATTTGTAACGGGTTGATCTTGTAAAAAAAAAAAAAGTTCTGTGGGTATAAACAACTTGGCTAAGATTTGAAGGATATTATTTAGCTTTTCTCCATTTGTTAAAACATTAAAATCATGCTGATGTGGGGCCAGAATCTGGGCCCGTGTGTCTGGATCCATCAATTTTCTAAGGAACAGGGTTTGTTTCTGCTGTTTAATGGAAAATTGTAAAGGATTCTAAAGAGTTTATGAAAATCTTATATTATGGTCAAACTAAAACTGGATATATTTATAAAATTTTATTAAAAACTAGCATTATTACTAAAGATGCACTATTGCAAACATGGAATTTGGTTTTTCCTTTTGAAAAAGATTTTTATGTAACATTGAAAGACAATGAAATATTTTTGTTTGCCTTTTAAGTAAGCTACAAAAAATGGGAAAAGGAGAGAGAGAAGAGACAGATTCAGTTGGCCTCATACTATTGTCATCAGGTCTTGTTGTTTGGAAAGTTAAGTCCTCTATCAGAGTAAAGGTTTTTCTTTTTAAAAAATTTTTGGGTTATCATTTTGGCCAAATGAATGACTTATGGTGACCTGAGATTCTATTTTGTAATATCCAGTGTCTTAAACTTTTGCTATTTGACAAACTTTCCAAAATCAAATTATAAATTATGTCTATTTCTAAGCTAATCTGTTCAATATTAGGTCCTCTAAAGTCCAAAAATGACATTTGGCTTATTTGGTACAGAAATCATACAGGAAGCATTGCCAAATATGAAAGGTGTTTGGCTTTCTTTGGACTATATTTGTGTAAATGTATTATTGGTATATGTTCCAAAATTATGTGAAACTCCTATAATTCTGATATGATTTAGTATATGTTATCAGCAATCATTATAATTGTTATGCTAAATTATTGTGTGCCACAGAAGTAACAAATTTTCTTATTGTGTCTTTAACTGTGGCTGCCCTAAGGCTTTTTGTCATTCATAGGCAATTGTTTTATTGTGACCCTCTTCAAATGGTGGTCTTATAATCAGCTATTAAACTTTTACAGGTGTTTTTGAATGGAAGTTTCTGATAACTTTGGAGATTATGACATTAGAATAAAGGAAAAAAACTTACAGGACTCCTATGAAGAGCTGAAATGTTCATGAATATCAAGCAGAACAGGATTTAGCTGAATGGACTGAACTAATAGAAAACTGAAGTAATATTTTTTGAATATTTTGCTTAAAACATTGCTGATCCTTTTTGTTTTCCAGAGTCAAGAAAACTTTTCTTTTGAGCTATTTACAACTTTTAACAATTGAGTAAAATATACGTCTGTGAACAAAATTTGGAGCATATTTGTTTCTCTACCTGATTTCTCCAGAACTTGGAAACTATTTACACTGCACTTGATGGATCAGCTGCCACCATCTAGATTGATAAACTGGCTCATCTGATATTGTGGTCACCCACCCAGGAACTGACTCAGTGCCAGAGGAGAGCTTCCACTTCCTATGATTTCATCTCCAGCCCAACCAGTCAGCACTCTTGATTCACTGGTATTCCCTCATCCACCAAATTATCTTTAAAAACTCTGATCCCCAACTGCCTAGGAAGACTCATTTGAGTAATAACAAAACTCTGGTCACACACACACGCACACACACACACAATAATAATAATAATAATAATAATAATAATAATAGCTCATCTATGATAGTAAAAAAGAAAAATAATCTATCTTTCAGTGACAGATAAAGACAGTTTTAAGCCTGTTAAAATTACAAGGTCATCAAAGTAGAAAATAAAAAGTGATAGAGTTGTATTGAAAAGAATAGAAAAGAAGGGTGGTATGAGATAAATTTTTATCCATTAGGAAAATTTTATAGATATGTTTGAGATTGATATTCAAAAATAATTTTAAAACATATCTTCATATACCTATAATAAACATGTCTATATATGTTTGTAATAGTAAACATATCTTCATATGCCTACAATTAGGGTTTGGATCTATAATGACATGAAGAAATTGTCTGTTCCTGTTCCCTACCTTCCCATAGGAGAGAAGAATCTCTCTTCAAAGAGCAGATCAAGAGAGATGCTTTAAAACCACAGCAAGTTTTCAGAGGATGTCCATTTTAGCGCCAAAATTTAAATACGGGGAGGACGCTATGGTGCCAAAGGCCCCAGAAAGGTGCACTTGAAGTGGGACACTTGGAACCCCAACTGTCAATGCTGGTGAGTCAGCCTCTGAAAGAGCAGGATTCAATTAACCTATTGACTGTAGAGATATGTGAGCAAAGCAGAACTAGAATAAATATTGAGAAAATGCTAAAACTTAGAGCATACGGCACTAAGTATGGTTCAGCTCCACCCGATGGGTAGGTAGGTCCAGCAGGGTATCAACAGGGATATCTTGGTCATTTCCTCCTCTTCAGGTGGCACAGAAAACTAGCTGGGAGAAAGAATAACAGACTCTAATCCTGATTATAGGTGTCATTTCCACCAACACTCTAACCAAATGTGTTTTGGAAAATCTGAGAGGCACAAGAAGTGGGGTGTGCTGAGAGCCTACCAGTCAGATGTAGCTTCTTATTCAGTGGACTGAAGCACAAACTGCTAAAGCAAGCCTTCCTGGCTAAACTCAAATTCAGAAGACCTAAGGGGAATTTTTATATCTGAGATCTAAGGTTATCACTCACTATATTCCTGAAACAGTTCTCTCAAAGTCCCCGATGGAATTGTGAGAATTATCTGGACCCCAAGTTGGATGAGAACTGCAGAAAGCTCTTTGCTATTATTAGTCAAGCCATAGATGTCTAGAAACACATGCTTTTTTTTCTGAGTGACATACTCTGCAAACACCAAGCTTGGTGAGTGAGAGGCATCTCAGCAGGCACAGCTGTAGTGATTTCAGATAGCACATTGCAGTGTACTTTCTTCAGATTATATTACACATACAGACACAGACACATGCAATTCACATCATTCTGTAACATCTGCATGAATCAGAGGAAAAAGGCAATGCTATAATTGAATATGAAATATAAAACAATAGGACATAGATACAGGGTGCACAATTTGTGATTCACAAGTCTGAGTTCTATTTGTCCTGCAACAATGTGTTAGGCCATTCTTGCATTGTTATAAAGAGATATATGAGACTGGGTATTTTATAATAAAAAGGGTTTAATTGGCTCATGGTTTTGCAGGCTGTAGAAGCATGAGCCAATTAAACCTTTTTTCTGGCATCTGCTTCTGGGGAGGCCTCAAGGAGCTTTCATTCATTGCGGAAGGTGATGCGGGAGGAGGCACATCAAATGGTGAAAACAAGAGCAAGAGAGTGTTGGGGGCAGAGGAAGTGCCATACACTTTTAAACAACCAGATTTCACAATAACTCACTCACTATTGCAAAGACAGCACCAAACCATGAGAGATTCACCCCCATGACCCTAACACCTCCCACCAGGCCCCACCCAATGTGAAATTTGGGTAAGGACAAATATCCTAACTATATCAAACAGTATAAATATTGCAAGTTTCGTAACCAAAGATCTTAT
Organism: Homo sapiens; assembly: GCF_000001405.40. Classification (NCBI taxonomy): domain Eukaryota; kingdom Metazoa; phylum Chordata; class Mammalia; order Primates; family Hominidae; genus Homo; species Homo sapiens. The sequence continues at coordinate 96,411,367 of NC_000006.12, forward strand.
CAAGAGAGCTACCAGGAGTATAATGGATTATACTCCTTTAAATGTGATTCCTCTGGACTGTGGTCACCAGTGAGGAGGAGCAGGGAATCTTGCAGTATGTTGCACTCTGCTAGCAAGGCCCTACTCTGGTTGTGCTGTGGTACAACCCTTTTGCCCTAATTTTAAACGGTGTCCATGTTGTCCTTGTCCTGACCTTTGAGTGAGATTAGTCTCTATGCTCCCCTTAGAGCATAGAAAATACTTTTCCCCATAGAAAAGTCTTAAACACTGACCTTTGAGTGAGATTGGTCTCTATGCTCCCCTCTCTCCCTCTTTCTCTTCTTCACTCTCTTTCCCTTCTTCCCTCCCTGATCTGTGTCTTTGGTTATTGATCTCTAACTGTATGCTGATATGAGCGTTCCCTTTCACCCTCCAACCCTGTTCCCGCTTTCCCTCCTCATCGTGGGGGTTTATAGATGTTTCAATCTTTCTGTATTATTTATCATTGCTGTGTAAAAATTATCCCAAACTTGGCGGCTTAAAACAACAATATCAATTATCTCAACGTTTCTGTGGGTCACGAGTCTAGGCATGGCTTAGCTCCCAGGCTCAGCTGGGAAGGGTCCTTTTTGATGCTCATCGTGTGATTGCTGGCAGGATTCATTTCTTTGTAGCTGCTGGACTCAAAGCTCAGTTCCTCATGAGCTGTTGGCCGAGGTCTGCCTCAGTTTTTAATATGTGGACCCCTCTAAAAAGCATTTTGGAACAGAACATGGCAGCTTGCTTCAGGAAAGTGAGCAAGCTATAAAGAAAAAGAGTGCCAGCAAGTGAGAGCGTGCTAGCAAGATGGAATCACTGGCTTTTGTAATCACATCACAGAAATTATATCCAATTAATTTTAGTGTATTGTATTCACCAGACACAAGGCATTAAATCCAGTTAACACTTAAGAAGAGGGGATTACACAAGGGTTTGAATACCAAGCAGTGGAGCCCACTGGGCGCCATTTCAGAGCTGTCACCCTAGCATGCTTAGGGTGACGGAGAGGAAGAGCATTTGTAGAAGCTGGAGGAAAGCAGAAATTTGGAGCCACATCAGAAGCTGCCTACCACCCTGTCTCTACGGTTTGCCCATTCCAGATCCACAACTATCCTTTTCTGTCTCTGATCCAACATCCTACAGTCTTATGTTGTCTTTATCACAAAGTTCTATACTTACTACACTCTTGGTTTTAACCATTTGCCTGATTACCTAATTTTCTGTCCTGCCCAATAGCACTAACTAACATTTATATACTGGTGTATGTACAGATTAAAAAGCATTTTTCTTTAAAGAACTGAGTTTCAGGAAGGGACATGACCAAAAGACAGAAAACTGGTCATCAGAAAAGTGGAAACTTTGAGACAGTGCAATGTGCAGTTTTAAGCATTCAATGGTCAACCATTAAGAGCTTTATGTTTTCCACTTAAAACTACATTCACTAAATCAGTCACTGTAGACCTAGGGTATTATTTGCAAACTGGAGCATATTATCATTTGGTTCTTTTAGTAAGTTTAGTAAATTTAATGTAGCTGATGCCTGATTACTGTAATACACACAGAATTTTGAGAGTTGCATATTTTAAATAGAAAACATATCACATTAATTTTGAATATGACCATAGAAACTAAGTTAATATTAGGACTTTTGGCTTATCAAGCACAGATTCTGAAAGTGGTTTTCATGGTTGTGTTTGATGGCTTTCATTGACTGCATAACAATTAGGAACATTTTCCTGAAAACTGATTTTTCTAGTAACCAGAGACTGAAGTGAATTCAGGTCCAGCCATCTTCTGTACTTTGATCTGGCATTTCTTCCACAGACACAGTTACAGCAACATACAAAATCAATTGGCAGAGAATGCTTATTTATGTCAAATATGGATTTTCCAAGAAATAGTTTATGAAAATACCTTTCATGTGGATAATGACTAGAGGTAAAAAGTGGACAGTCTGATTCCCAGTAATTACAGCCTGGTGTTGCTTTATTCACACGTAATCTATTGCTAGGAAACCTAACATGCCTAAAGCAGGTCAGGATACAAATGGTGTCTCGAAAAGGGAGCAAAATGGGAAAAAAGAAGAGACAGTTATTTTATTCTATCTTGTGTCTTCTCCTCACTATCACACCAACTGTATTGCACTTGGATATCTTTTCACTTAAATAAAGGTATTAAAGTGACAGCTGATGAACAGTGAGTTTGTATTCCAGGAGCACTCTTATAGGTTTAAATTACATACAGATGAAAAATAGCCCATATGGCTTTTGAACAAAAAGAACGGCTGCAAGCCCTAAAAAATTCTAGTGGAAAAGTTGGCATGCTAAAAGGTTAATTAAAATTCGACTCTGTGAGATGGATACTTTTATTTATAGAACCTTTGGCTGATTTTCAGCAGCCATGTTTTTTTCTAATTAAAATAATATGAGCAGCTAATAGCAATCAGCTTAAAGAACTGAATATTTTAGAGAAAGAGATGATTCATAGGTTTTTTAATAATCATTTTACAGTAGGTGTCTCCACTAAAGAGCACAAAAAACATTTGTATTCAGCCATTGTCTAGTTCAAATGTCAGGAAATATTAAGCTGGAAAAAATGAGGAGCAAATTATTTAAACCTGTCTAAAATAAGTCATTGATATTATCATGTAAATTCGATATTTCCCTAAAGGTTCTGGAATCATTCTTTGACATGACAACTCATAAACTCTGAGAAACTGGACCATTAGAAGCATTATTTTAAAAATGAGAATTTTTTTATATTTCATGAACGTAACATACACAAATAACGACACTTAAGAGAAACAAAAGTTTGCATGAAAACATTATGTACACATTCATAGAGAGAGACAGATGGAGATGGAGACATAGGCAACAAGAATTATCATTATATCTTCTGTAGGATTAAGCATCCTTTTCCTCCCCTAAATCACTAAGAATAACTAAAGAACAAGATTAACATCTGTAAAGGAGAATCAGAAAGCATGAATAAAGAGTTATATTAAACAGAAGGAAGGAAGGAGGAGGAAAAAGAGGAGGAAGAGCAGGAGAAAGAAAAATGTGTCAGAAATATACACTTCCCAGATGAGTGTATACTCCCACTTTGCAAGAAACAACCAATACACTCCTCATGCCCCAGATTTTTTTTTCCTATTATTTTTCAATAATAAAACTCTTGAATTTTAACCGGGCATATCACATCTCAGAATCAATACAACCTTCTATGAAGCTAAAAATGTGCAATAGCTTGCTTCTGGACAATGGAATTAAAGTGGAGGTGTTGTGTGCATCTAGAAAGTGTCCATCCCCTTCTCTTTCTCCTTCTCTGCTGACAGGAATGTAGACATATGTGCTCCAGCCAGAGCTGCCTTTCGAGATCATGGGTGATTTTGAGAAAACAGTGTTTGTAAAACTGAGCACTAAAATGAAAAGAGCCTGTGTCTCTAACATTGTGGAGAGTCAAACCAGTCCTGTATTGCTTTTCCTAGACTTATATGGTCAGAAAGACATCTAGGAAGTCCTAGCCAGAGCAATCAGGCAAGAGAAATAAATAAAAGGTGTCAAAATAGGAAAAGAAGAAGTGAAATTATCTCTCTTCACTGACAGTGTGATTCTATAGCCAGAAAATCCTAAAGTCCAGCCAAAAGGCTCCTAGATCTGATAAATGACTTTGGAAAAATCTCAGGATACAAGATCAATGTACAAAAATCAGTAGCATTTCTATACACTAATAACATTCAAGCTGAGAGTCAAATTGAAAATGCAATCCCATTCACAATAGCCACAGAAAAAAATAAAATACCCAAGAATACATCTAACCAAGGAGGCGAAAGATCTCTACAAGGAGAACTACAAAACACTACTGAAAGAAGTCAGAGGTGACACAAACAAATGGAAAAAAATGCCATGCTCATGAATTGGAAGAATTAATATCATTAAAATGGCCATACTGCCCAAAGCAATCTACAAATTCAGTGTTATTCCTATCAAACTACCAAGGGCATTTTTCACAGAATTAGAAAAAAAACCTATTCTAAAGTTCACATGGAACCAAAAGAAAGAGCCTGAATAGCCAAAGTCATCCTAAACAAAAAGAAAAAACCATGAGGCATCATATTACCTAACTTCAAACTGGACTATAAGGCTACAATAACAAAAACAGCATGTCTCTGGTACAGAAACAGACACATAGACCAATGGAAAAGATTAGAGAACCCAGAAATAAAGTTGCCCACTTACAGCCATCTGATCTTCAAGAAAGTTGACAAAAATAAGCAGTGGGAAAAGGACTCCCTATGTAACAAATGGTGCTGGAATAGCTGGCTAGCCGTATGCAGAAGAATGAAACTGGACCCCTACCTTTTACCATATACAAAAATTAACTCAAGATGGACTAAAGATTTAAATGCAAACCCCAACCTATAAAAATCCTAGAAGAAAACCAAGGAAATACCATTCTGGACATTGGCCTTGGCAAAGAATTTATGACCAAGTCCTCAAAAGCAATTGCAACAAAAACAAAAAATGACAAGTGGGACCTAATTAAACTAAAGAGCTCTTGCACAACAAAAGAAACTATCAACAGAGTAAACAGACAACCTACAACCCATAGAATGGGAGAAAATATTCGCCAACTATGCATCTGACAAATGTTTAATGTCTACAATCTGTAAGAAAATTAAACTAATCAACAAGAAAAAACAAACGAACACTTTTCAAAAGAAGACATACAAGCAGCGAACAAACATGAAAAAACGCTCAACATCTATAATATAAAAGAAATGCAAATCAAATCTACAATGAGTCCCATAATCCCAGCACTTTTTGAGGCCGAGTCAGGTGTTTCACCTGAGGTCAGGAGTTCAAGACCAGCCTGGCCAACATGGTGAAACCCCACCTCTACTAAAAATACAAAAAAAAAAAAAAATAGCCGGGCATCTTGACACACACCTGTAATCCAGGCTACTCAGGAGGCTGAGGCAGGAGAATGGCTTGAACCTGGGAGGCTTAAGGCAGAGGTGGAGGTGAAGGTTACAGTGAGCCGAGATAGTGCCATTGCATCCAGCCTGGGCAACAAGAGCAAAACTCCATCTCAAAAAACAAACAAACAAAAACACACAAAGAGATATCATTTCATACCAGTCAGAAAATATTTTACATAGTAAATATTTTACATAATAAAATATTATTTTATTATGTAAAAAATAATAATAATAATAACAAATGCTGGTGAGGCTGTAGAGAAACGGGAGTATTTATACACCGTAGGAATGTAAATACTTCACCCACTGTGGAAAGAAGTATGAAGATTTCTCAACGTGCCTAAAATGGAGCTACTATTCAACCCAGCAATGCCATTATTGGGTATATACTCAAAGGAAAATAAATCTCCCCCAAAAGACACATGAACTTGTATATTTATCCCATTATTTGCAATAGGAATCAACCTAGGTGCCCATCAATGGTGGTTTGGACAAAGAAAATGTGGTACATATACAACATAGAATACTACACAGCCATAAAAAGAGTGACATGATGTCTTTTGCAGCATCATGGCATGCAGCTGGAGGCCATTATCCTAAGCAAATCAATGCAGGAGCAGAAAACCAAATACCACATGTTCTCACTCATAAGTGGGAGCTAAACATTGACTACACATGAATATAAAGATGGAAGCAATGGACAGTGCATACTACTAAAGGGGAGAGAAAGGGAGGGAGGAATGAGTTAAAAACTACCGTTTGGATACTACACTCATTACCTGGGTGACGGGATCATTTGTATCCCAAACTTTAGCATCATGCAATATATCCATGTAAGAAACCTGCACGTGTAACATCTGAATTTAAAATAAAAGTTGAAAGTATTTTTTAAAGCAATAAATCTTTCTCTCCCTTTTAAATCCATGGTTATTTTGTTTTGTGGTCACTTCAGGCTGAGCCAAATCCCAATTAATACATGCTTTAGCATGTGAATTTACACTACAGAAACAAGTGATGCAACATCTCCACAGTTAAAAGATACATTTCTAGACTTTAGAAGCTCAAATATATCATTTCCATGTGGAGACATAACTGCACTAGACCACTTTCATGAGCGTCAGAATCACCTGGAGGGCTAGTTAAAACACAGATTGCTGGACTGCACCCACAAATATCTAATTCAGTAGTTCAGGTGAAGCTAAGAATCTGCATTTCTAACAGCTTCTCAGGTGATGCTGATACTTCCTGACCATAGAATGTGCACAGTGTCTCACAGCAACATACAACTGCTCCTTACCCTATAATCAGGATATTCTAATTTCTAAATGCCATGAAAGGTCGTTTTCAACATCCTCAAATACCTTACCATTCATCTAAGAAGCTCCATACTGTCATTATTTTAAACTGATTACAGCTTATGAAAATAGTAAAAGGAATATACTATAATAATGGCAATTTATTTATTGTTTACTGCAAAAGATTTCGCTCAAGTTCTATTTGAGAAATCAGATAAACAATAAACAATCAAATTTAGAAAAATTACTACGTAGCATTTTAGTGGGTGATTCATTTCAGAATTACCTAGAGCACTTTTAAAAATGAAGATTCTAGGCCCTACCCCACACCTACCAAATCAGAGTATCTGAAGGTGGGGCTTAGGAATCTTTTATCGATCCAGCTCCTCAGAGGATTCTTAAAAACCCAAATGTTTGCTAATCACTGACCTTGTTGTTGAAGTGTCATCAGAGACACTGGCTCAGACTCAAGGATATTTTCTAGCATGAGTGAGCATAAAACTAATATCCAGAAAGCCTTACATAATGCTGCAGGCAAAAAGAATGATCTGTAACCAGTGGGTTTATTTTAAAAATAAAAATAAAAAAGCTTGAAACCTACTGTAGTAACCAGGGGGAGAGTTGATGGTGTGAGATAGCAAATAATAACCAAAAGAAATACTCTGAATAATAGAATCTTCTACTGAACACTGTGTTTGAAAGGCATTTTTTCCCACCCAAATTCATGCAAATATATGAAATTTGCCCATGTAGACACAAAAGGCATTGTTTCATAGGAGGCCTTTTGAAGAAGACATTAGAGGAGATATACTGAAGAAAAAGACACATCCCATTTTTTTCAACACTGCAGAGAGTTACACAGTAGCAAATAGACAAGGAATAAAAACAGAGCCGTCAAAAAGGCTGATTCTACCTTCTTAATATCTCTCCAATCCATTTGCTTATATTGAGTTCCACTCCCCCATCACAGTTTCAGTCACTAAGTCTCTCCCAGACTACTGCCTCTTAACTCACTTTCCCCTCTCTGGTCTTACTCACCTCTAATACAATATCCTTCATAATGGCACCAGAATGACTTCTTAGACACAAATCTGATCATGACATCCTACCATTTAAAATATGTTGAGCTCCCCATGGTTATAAAGATAAATTCCAAGTTCTGTAGTACAGTAAAACTGGCACTTCAAGATCTCACCCTTTCTTCTTCACTTCATCTCTCACCACCACCCTCCCCTTACTTTATATGTGCATCTCATCAAATTACTCTCAGTTTCTCTAATGTGCTCTACTCTCTCATCTCCAGGCCCTTTCCTCTGCCTGGAAAGCCCTCTCCACACATCTCAACCCACTCAATCCTTTTATCCATGGATATCTCCCCCTCAGCTGTCAGGACTCAGCTCCCATGTCACTCCTTTTAGGAAGTCTCATCTGACACCTCTATCCTGGCCTGAATTTCCATCATTATTATCTGTGGAGTCATTTTGGATTCATATCTGTGGAGTTCTCTCTCTGTCTCTCTCTCTCTGTCTCTCTCAGGTACCTGACAATAGGAACTATGTTTTAGACATTGCTGTAGTTTCTGACACATTGCAGGTATCTAAAACATGTTTTTTGAGTGAATGAAAAAACGAATGTATGAGTACATCTATCAGTGAATTGCAGTTGATAATGTTAAGGCAGAAAGATTTCGTAGTTTCAAAACTGAACATTGAGCAATTGCAGACAGCTAGACACTTACGGCAATTAGTAATAATAGCAGGTAGTACTTTTATCATGTTTACAAGTGCCAGGCACAATCTCCATTTGTATGGATAGCCTCTAAAGTAATTACTTTTGTTATCCCTACTTTACATACTAGGTAAAAGAGGCACAACACAGTTACATAACTTGCCTGAAGTTAGTAACTGGTAGAGTTGAAAATACAGTCTAGCCCCAGAGTTCATACTCTTAGCCACTCCGTATGATAGACATGAGGGGATGAGCTGCAATACCAGGAAGCCACCAGACCAGCAGGGCATGGGGACATCATTATGAGAAATGGAAGCAGTCGAGGTGCACCAAAAGGAAATGCAGACCCAGTATATTTGGAGAAATGTATTTCCAAGAACGCAGCCTGACTCCAGTGCTGTTTTTCAGATTTCATTCATTCTTTTTCACTTCCCTCTTCCTTTTCCATTGTTCTTAATACACACCGTAATGAATAAAATTGCTTTCCTAATCCGATATTCTAAACTGCAAATCCATGCAGTAGGAACCATTCCTGGATGACTACTTACCCTGGATAGACTTTCTACCCTTTTTACTGAGTGATTTCATGAACCATTAAGCAGTGATGTCTTGAAGAAAACAAAATAGCAGGGAGTTTGCCTTGATGCTCACTCCACCCACCTTTCAGGATCTGCCTGTTTCAGAGTCTTCACTCAATCAAAACACTGCTGTTCCCACAAGTCACAATAGTATCTCATATTCCAGGTGTTTTTTGTTGGGCTTCAGTTAGCTTCCACTCTTTTCAATACTTGCTTATTAGACAGATAGCTTCAAATTCCTATTTTAAAAAGTTTCCAGTTATCTAGATTTGAGGAAGCAACCAGATGAGTATGGCATATGGACCTTAAAAGTAAAGTCATTGGCAGAGAACAAGGCAAACCAAAAGATAAATGCAGGAAGAATTGCCTCAGAAGCATTTTTGGACTCAATCATGTATACAGTCTCAGCAGTAGGCTGTTATTCAGGTACTAACTAGTCAGCACTTTCCAATGCCACACATCCAGCTGGTCTATTACAGGCAGCCCCAGGCCGGAAAGAGATGCAGTCTACCTAATTAACTTAGATAACCCAGTTTCTCTACCTCCTGCTCTCTCACCTGCTTTCCAGGTTTCTGTTTTGGCAAAATCTTCAGCATTGCCCTGGCTGAGCTCTCAGCTGAAAATGGCAGTTCTGTCAGTCTTGGCTCCTTCCCACACATGCATAAAATGGGTCTCAAATACTGTATCCAATTCACTACCTGGCTTCTCTGTTTCCCTTCATTTCTGTGATTTCAGAACTTTTATGACTTCTGCCAGGATGGATACATCAATAGAAGAGTTTTCTTGCTAAAGCTTAACTACACTGGTGATTTCAGTTTAAGCTTCCTTTAACTTTTTGTGAACCCTATACAGTTTATGTCACATTGTGGACTCAGTGCCTGTCTAAAAGTTACGAGTTTAAAATGTTTCATTAGTCATTGTCAAGAAGAGACACTGGAACTGACGAGAAGAAACCATCAGATTAAGGAACCCCATAATGAGGGGTACTGGGACATGGTTCCTATTGAGATAGCATCTCTTAAAATATCTTATGGATTTCCTGATTTAACTGTCACCAGGCCCACCAGGGCCTCTTATATAGTTCTGTCAATGCATACAGAAAAATTACCAAAGTGGTGAGTTTTTAGTTTTTTCAAATTACCCATATGATGGTATTGATATTACTCATGGTTTAAATTACTTTAAATGTCAATATTGATTTTGAGATTTTTTATTATCAGTATCAATTAATTTGGGATTATAAAATTCAACCTTTCATTTACTACTGAGATGTATTTCACTGATCTTTCTGTGAAACAGTTCATTTCCCTTTCCTAGTCCCACAGGGTAAAACAAAAACCTACATAATGAATGGAAATATTTCTCTCATCACACTGGTTACCCTCTTAGAAACTATCATCTCTTTAAAGTCTACACTTCGAAAAATCTCTTTGTTTTAAAGTTCAAAGTGAATTCATCAGAGAGGATGCCAGCTTGGAGCAGAGGGCAATAAACACCTCTTAATCCACAGACAAGGAAAGGCATTAATTATAACAGAACAGTGCAAACCTCTCTAGTCTGCTTCAAAAGCATCTCACATTTCGTTTCCACGGGGATACAATCTAAGATTCTGCATTCATATTTTGGTTCCTGTTGTTGAGAAGAGAATTATAATAGCCAGCAACATTTCTCAGGCTAAATCTATCAAAAGTTTATTCTAGCAAAAGTAACATATGATAGATTTAACCAGAAGCACAGACACCTTTCACACACACAGACACACGCACAAACTCTCTAGGTCTTGATACTGATAAAATATGTATTAATATATTCTCATGCATATAATTCCATTTTTTAAAATTGATATATAATCATTGTACATATTTTGGGGATACATGTGTTATTGTGGTAACTGTTTACAATGTATAATGATCAAATCAGGGTAATTGAGATATCCATCACCTCAAACATTTATCTTGTCTTCATGTTAGAAAGATTACAGTTCTTCTCTTCTATTTTGAGATATACAATAAATTATTATTAATAATTTCCCTCGTATAGTAGTTCAAATAGTAGAACTTATTCCTTCTCTATAACTGTGTTGTTGTATCACTTAACCAAGTTTTCTTCATCCTTTTCTCTCCCTTCCCTTCTCAGCCTCTGATAATCACCATTATACTCTCTATCTCCATCTCTGTGAAATCCACATTTGTAGCTCCCGCATATGGGTGAGAACATATGATATTTGTCTTTCTTTGCCAGGCTTATTTCACTTAATATAATGTCCTCCAGTTCCATCTATGTTGCTGCAAAAGACAGATTTTCATTCTGGTTTAGGGCTGAATAATGTGTTTATATATGACATTTTCTTTATCCACTCACCCATTGATGAACACTTAGGTTGATTCCATAGCTTCGCTATTGTGTTGTGCTGCAACACAGATACCTCTACAATATATTGATTTCCTTTCTTTTGGATATATACTCGGTAGTGGGATTGATAGATCATATGGTAGCTCCATTTTTAGTTTTTTGAGGAACCTCCATATTATTTTTCAAAATGGCAGTGCTATTTTAGAAACATTTTACGAGTGCTCCCCTTTCTCAGCTTCCTCACCAGCATTTGTTACTTTTTGTCTTTTTTTATGTTTAATTTTTGTGGGTACATAGAAGGCACACATATTTAAAGGTTACATGAGTTGTTTCAATACAGGCATGCAATACATAATAATCGCATCAGAGTAAATGATACCTATCGTGTTAAGTATTTTATCCTTTGTGTTACAAACAATTTAATTATACTTTTTCGTTATTTTAAATTTTACAATTAAATTATTTTTGACTGTAGTGACCCTGTTGTGTTAGCATACTAGATATTATTCATTTTTGCTAGCTATCTTTTTGTACCCATTAACCATCCTCAACTTCTCATCACCCCCTCACTTCCCTTCCCAGCCTCTGGTAACCATCATTATACTCTTTATCTCCATGAGTTCAACAGTTTTCATTTTTAGTTCCCACAAGTAACTGAGAACATGTAAATTTTGTCTTTCTGTGCATGGCTTATTTCACTTAACATAATGACTTCCAGTTTCACTTATGATGTTGCAAATGACAGGATCTCATTCTTTTTAATGGCTGAATAGTACTCCATTGTGTATATGTACCACATTTTCTTTATCCATTTGTATTAGTTCATTTTTATACTGTTATGAAGAAATACCCAAGACTTAGTAATTTACAAAGAAAAAGAGGTTTAATGCACTCACAGTTCCACATGGCTGGGAAGGCCTTATAATCATGGCAGAAGGTGAAGGAGGAGCAAAGGCATGTCTTACATGGCAGCTGGCAAGAGATCATGTGCAGGAGAGCTGCTCTGTGTAAAACCATCAAATCTCGTGAGACTTATTCACTATCTTGAGAACAGCATGGGAAATACCTGCCTACATGATTGAATTACCTCCCACTGGGTCCCTCCCACACCATGTGGGGATTATGGAAGCTAGAATTCAGTATGAGATTTGGGTGAGGACACAATCAAACCATATCATTCCACCCCTGGCCCCTCCCAAATATTATGTCCTCACATGTCAAAATCAATCATGCCTTCCCAACAGTTCCCCAAAGCCTTAACTTGTTTCAGCATTAACTCAAAAGTCCGCAGTTCAAAGTCTCATCTGAGACAAGACAAATACTTTCTGCGTATAAGCCTGTAAAATCAAAAGCAAGTTACTTCCTAGGTACAATGGGGGTACAGGCAGTGGGTAAATACAGCCATTCCAAATGGGAGAAATTCACCAAAACGAAGGGGCTACAGTCCCCTTGCAAGTCTGAAATCCAATGGGGCAGTCAAATCTTAAAGCTCCAAAATGACCTCCTTTGACTCTATGTCTCACATTCAGGTCATACTGATACAAGAGTTTGGCTCCCACAGACTTTGGCAGCTCTGCCCCTGTGGCTTTGCAGGGTATATCCCCCCTCTGTCTGCTTTCGTCTCTGCAGATTTTCCAGGCGCACAGTGCAAGCTGTCAGCGGATCTACCATTCTAGGGTCTGGAGGAGAGTAGCCCTGTTTTCACAGTTCCACTAGGCAGTGCCCCAGTGGGAATTCTGTGTGGGGGTTCCCACCCCACATTTCTCTTCCACACTGCCCTAGTAGAAGTTCTCCATGAGTGCTCCTCCCCTGTGGCAAGCTTTTGCCTGGACATCCAGGTGTTTACATACAACCTCTGAAATCTAGACAGAAGTTCCCAAACCTCCATTCTTGATTTCTGTGCACCTGCAGGCTCAACACCACATGGGAGCTGCCAAGGTTTGGGGCTTGCACCCTCTGAAGCCACAGCCCAAGCTGTACCTTGGTCCCTTTTAGCCATGACTAGAGAAGCCGGGACGCAGGACACCAAGTCACTAGGCTGCACATTGCAGGGGGGCCCTGGGCCTGGCCCATGAAACCATGTTTTCCTCCTAGGCCTCTGGTCCTCTGATGGGGGGGGCTGCTGCAAAGGTCTCTGACACGCCCTGGAGACATTTCCCCCATTGTCTTGGGGATTAACATTCGGCTCCTTGTTACTTATGCAAATTTCTTCAGCAGGCTTGAATTTCTCCCCAGGAAATGGGGTTTTCTTTTCCACTGCATTTTCAGGCTGCAAATTTTCCAAACTTCTGTGCTATGCTTCCTATTGAATGCTTTGCCACTTAGAAATTTCTTCCACCAGATACCCTAAATTATCTCTCTTAAGTTCAAAGTTCCACAGATCTCTAGGGCAGGTGCAAAATACTGTCAATTTCTTTGCTAAAGCATATCAAGAGTCACCTTTGCTCTAGTTCTCAACAAGTTCCTCATTTCCATCTGAGACCACCTCAGCCTGGACTTTATTGTCCCTATCACTACCAGCATTTTGGTCAAAGCCATTTAACAAGTCTCTAGGAAGTTCCAAACTTTCCCACGTCTTTCCATCTTCTTCTGTGCCTTCCAAACTGTTCAAACTTCTGCCTGCTACCCAGTTCCAAGTCGCTTCCACATTTTCAGGTGTCTTAAGAGCAGTACCCCACTCTACCAGTACCAATTTACTGTATTAGCCCATTTTCATGCTGTTACGAAGAAATACCTGAGACAGGGTAATTTATAAAGAAAAAGAAGTTTAATGGACTCACAGTTCTACATGGCTGAGGAGGCATCCCAATCATGGCGGAAGGCAAAGGAGGAGCAAAGGCACCTATTACATGGAGGAAGGCAAGAGAGCATGAGCAGGGGAACAATCCTTTATAAAACCATCAGATCTCATGAGACTTATTCACTATCATGAGAACAGCATGGGAAAACCCCACCCCTGGAACCTCCCACCAGGTCCCTCCTAAGACCTGTGAGGATTATGGAAGCTACAATTCAAGATGAAATTTGAGTGAGGACACAGCCAAACCATATCACCATTCATCTGCTGGATGAATGAACACTTACATTGCTTAAAAATCTTGGTTATTGTGAATAGTGCTGCAATAAACATGGGAGTGCAGATATTTCTTTGATATACTAATTTCCTTTCTTTTGGGTATATACCTAAGAGTAGGATTGCTGGATTGTATGGTAGTTTTACTTTTAGTTTTTTTAGGAACCTCCTAATGTTCTCCATAGTGGTTGTACTAATTTAAATTCCCTTTACAGTGGACAAGAGTTCTTTTTTCTCCACATTCTCCTCAGCATGCATTATTGCCTGACTTTTGGGTAAAAGCCGTTTTAACTAGGGTGAGATGATATCTCATTGTAGGTTTGATTTGCATTTCTCTGATGATCAGTGGTGTTGAACACCTTTTCGTATACCTGCCTGTCATTTCTATGTCTTCTTTTGAGAAATGTCTATTCAGATCTTTTCCCCATTTTTCAATCAGATTATTAAATTTTTACCTATAGAGTTGTTTGAGTTCTATACATTCTGGTTTGAATTTCTTGTCAGATGAGTAGTTTGCAAATATTTTCTTCCATTCTGTGGATTGCCTCTTTATTTTTAAAATTATTGTCTTTGCTTTGCAGAAGGTTTTTTACCTAATCCCATTTGTTCACTTTTGCTTTGGCTGCCTGTGCTTGTAGGGTATTACTCAAGAAATGTTTACCTACTCCACTGTCCTGGAGAGGTTCCCCAATTTTTTCTTTTAGTATTTTCATAGTTCGATATCTTATATTTAAGTCTTTAATACATTTTGATTTGATTTTTTATTACAGGAAGAGATAGGGGTCCAGTTTCACTCATCTGCATATGGATATCCTATTTCCCAGATCCATTTACTGAAGAGACTGTCTTTCCCCAATATAGGTTCTTGACACTTTTGTCAAAAATGAGCTCATTGTATATGTATGGATTTATTTCTGGATTCTCTATTCCATTCTACTGGTCTATGTGTCTGTCTTTATGTCAGTACCATGTCATTTTGGTTACTATAGCTTTGCAGTATAATTGGAAGTCAAGTAATGTGATTACTCCAGTTGTTTTGTTTGTTTGGTTTTTTGTTTGTTTTTACTTAGGATAACTTTGGATATTTGTGGTATTTTGTGGTTCCATATAAATTTTAGGGTTGTTTTTTCTATTTCTGCAAAGAATGTCATGGGTAATTTGACAGGCATTGCATTGAATCTATAGATTGCTTTGGGTAGTAGGGACATTTTAACAATATTAATTCTTCTAATCCATGAACATGGAATATCTTTCTATTTTTGTGTCTTCTTCAATTTCTTGCATCAATGTCTTATCATTTTTATTGCAGAGATCTTTCACTTCTTTGCTTAAGTTAATTCCTTAATATTTAATTTTATTTATAGCTATTGCAAATAGGATTATTTTCTTTCTTTCTTTCTTTTTTTTTTTTTTTAGGGAGTTTTACTCTTGTTGCCCAGGCTGGAGTGCAGTGGCATGATCTTGACTGACTGCAACATCTGCCTCCTGGGTTCAAGTGGTTTTCCTGCCTCAGCCTCCTGAGTAGCTGGGATTACAAGCATTCACCACCATGCCTGGCTAATTTTTTGTATTTTTTTTAGTAGAGACGGGGTTTCACCATGTTGGCCAGGCTGGTCTTGAACTCCTGACCTCAGAAGATCTGCCAGCCTTGGCCTCCCAAAGTGCTGGGATTACAGGTGTCAGCCACCACGCCTTGCCCAGGATTATTTTCTTGATTTCTTTTTCAGATTGTTAGCTGTTGGCATATAAAAATGCTACATTTTTATTTTTTATTTCAGTAGTTTTTGAGGTACGGCTGGTTTTTGGCTGCACGGATCAGTTTCTTAGTGGTAATTTCTGAGATTTTGGTGCACCTGTCACCTGAGCAGTTTACACTGTACCAAATGTGTAGCCTTTTATCTCTTACCCCTTTCGTACCCTTCCCCCCGAGTTCCCAAAGTCCATTATATCATTCTTACACCTTTGCATCCTCATAGCTTAACTCCCACTTATGAGTGAGAACAAATAATATTTCCTTTTCCATTCCTGAGTTATTTCACTTAGAATAATGGATTGCAGCTCCATCCAAGTTGCTGCAAAGACTTTTTTTTCTTTTTTATGGCTGAGTAGTATTCCATGGTGTGTGTGTGTGTGTGTGTGTGTGTGTGTGTGTATATACACCACATTTTCTTTATTCACTTGTTGTTCAATGGGCACTTAGGTTAATTCCATATTTTTGCAATTGGAAATTGAGCTGCTATAAACATGTGCATGTGTCTTTTTCATATAATGACTTCTTTTTCTTTGGGTACATACCCAGTAGTGGGACTGCTGAATTGAATGGTAGTTCTACTTTTAGTTCTTTAAGGACTCTCCATACTGTTTTCTGTAGAGGTTGTATTAGTTTACATTCCAACCAGCAGTGTAAAAGTGTTCCCTTTCCATGACATCTATGTCAATATTTATTTTTTTACTTTTTAATTATGGCAATTCTTGCAGGAGTAAGATGGTATCTCACTGTGGTTTTAATTTGCATTTTCCTGATAATTAGTAATGATGTTGAGCTATTTTTATGTGTATATTGTCTTTTAAGGATTGCTTATTTATGTCCTTTGTCCACTTTTTGATGAAATTGTTTTTTTCTTGACAATTTGTTTGAGTTCCTTGTAGATTTTGGATATTAATCTTTTGTCAGATGCATAGTTTGTGAATATTTTGTCCCACCTTGTGGGTTGTCTATTTCCTCTGTCGATTATTTCTTTTGCTATGTGGAAGCTAATGAGGTCCCATTTATTTATTTTTGTTTTTGTTGCATTTTCTTTTGGGGTCTTAGTTATGAATTTTTTGAATAAGTCAATGTCTGAAAGAGGTTTTCCAATGTTATCTTCTAGAGTTTTATGGTTTTAGGTCTTAGATTTAAGTATTTGATTCATCTTGAGTTGATTTTGTTATAAGGTGACAGATGAGGAATCCAGTTTCATTCTTCTACATGTGGTTAGCCAGTTTTCCCAGAACCATTTTGAAGTGGATGTCATTTTCCCAATTTATGTTTTTGTATGCTTTGTAGATCAATTGGCTGCAAGTACCTGGCTTTATTGCTGGGTTCTCTATTCTGTTCCATTGGTCTACATGCTATTTTTATACAAGTACCATGCTGTTTTGGTGACTATAGCCTTGTAATATAATTTGAAGCCAAATAATGTGATGCCTCCAGATTTGTTCTTATTTCTTAGTATTACTTTTGTTGTTTGGGCACTTTTTTGGTTTCATATGTATTGTAGAATTGTTTTTTCTAGTTCTGTGGAAAATGTTGATGATATTTTGATGGGAATTGTATTAAATCTGTAGATTGCTTTGGGAAGTGTGGTCATTTTCACAATATTGATTCTACCCATTCATAAGCATGGGATTGTTTTTATTTGTTTATTTCATCTATGATTTCTTTCAGCAGTATTTTGTAGTTTCCTTTGTAGAGATATTTTGCCTCCTTGGTTAAATATATTCCTAAGTTTGTTTGTTTGTTTGCTTTTTTGCAGCTGTTGTAAAAGAGATTGAGGTCTTTTTTTAATTTTAATTTTTTTTAAGTTCTTGGGTACAGGTACAGGATGTGCAGGTTTGTTATATAGGTAAACGTGTGCCATGGTGATTTGCTGCGCCTATCAACCCATCACCTATTAACCCAGCATGCATCAGCTATTTTTCCTGATGCTCTCCCTCCCACCCACCCCACCCCCCAACAGGCCCCAGTGTGTGTTGTTCCCCTCCCTGTGTCTATTGTTCTCATTGTTCAGCTCCCACTTATAAGTGAAAACATGCCGTGTTTGGTATTCTGTTCCTGGGTTAGTTTGCTGAGGATAACGGCTTCCAGCTCCAACAATGTCCCTGCAAGGGACATAATCTCATTCCTTTTTATGGCTGCATAGTATTCCATGGTGTATTTTACCATATTTTCCTTATCCAGTCTATCACTAATGGCCATTTTGGTTGATTCCATGTCTCTGCTATTGTGAATAGTACTGCAATGAACATATACATGCATGTATCTTTGTAATAGAATGACTCATATTCCTTTGGGTATATACCCAGTAATGAGATTGCTGGGTCAAATGGTAATTCTGGTTCTGGATGTTTGATGAATCATCACACCATCTTCCACAGTGGTTTTACTAATTTGCATTCCCACCAACAGTGTAAAAGCTTTCCTATTTCTCCCCAGCGATGCCAGGATCTGTTGTGTTTTGACTTTCCAATAATCATCATTCTGACTTGTGTGAGATAGTATCTCCTTGTGGTTTTGATTTGCATTTTTCTAATGATCAGTGACATTGAGCTTTATTTCATATGTTTGTTTACCTCATGAATGTCTTCTTTTGAGAAGTGTCTGTCCATGTTCTTTGCCCACTTTTTAATTAGGTTGTTTGTTTTTTCTTATGAATTTGTTTAGTTTCCTTGTAGGTTCTAGATATTAAACCATTATGACATGGACATATTGCAAAATTTTTCTCACTCTGTAGGTTGCTTGTTCCCTCTGATGATAGTTTCTTTTGCTATGCAGAAGCTCTTTAGTTTAATTAGATCCCATTTGTCAAATTTTGCTTTTGTTGCAATTGCTTTTGGTGATTTCACCAGGAAATCTTTGCCTGTGCTTATGTCATGAATGGTATTGCCTAGATTTCCTTCTAGGGTTTTTATAGTTTTGGTATTGAGGTCTTGATTTGATTCTTAGCTTGGTCTTTTTTGGTGTATAGCAGATCTACTGACTTGTGTACCTTGAGATTGTATCCTGAGACTTTACTGAATTCATTTATCTCATCTAGGAGTTTTTAAACGATTCTTTAGGGTTTTCTAGGTATACAATCATATTATCCATCAACGGCAACAGCTTGTCTTCTCCTTTTTCACTTTGGATGCCATTTATTTCTTTCTCTTATCTGATGTCTGTGGCCAGGACGTCCAGTACTATCTTGAATAGAAGCAGTAAAAGTGAGCATCCTTGTCTTGTTCCAATTCTCAGGGGGATGCTTTCCCACTTTTCCTTATTCAATATGATGTTGGCAGTGGGTTTGTCATATACCGTTTTTAATACTTTGAGGTATGTCCCTACTATGCCTATTTTGTTGAGGGTTTTAATCATAAAAGAATGTTGGATTTTATCAAATGCTTCTTCTGCATCTATTGAGATGCTTATATGATTTTTGTTTTTAATTCTGCTTGTGTGATGTATAACATTTATTGATATGGTAAATCATACCTGCATCACTGGTATGAAACCCAGTTGATCAGGATGTATTATGTTTTTGATATGCTCTCAGATTCAGCTAGAGTATTGTGTAGAGAATTTTCGCATATGTGTTCATCAGGGATATTGATCTGTAGGGTTTTATTTTCTTGTTATGTGCTTTTCTGGTTTTGGTAATAGGATGATACCAGTTTCATAGAATTACTTAGGAGGATTCCCTCTTTCTGTATCTTTTGGAATAGTTTCAGTACAATTGGTACCAATTCATTTTTGAATGTCTGATAAAATTCAGCTGTGAATCCATCTTGTCTTAAAATATTTTTGTTGTCAATTTCTTAATTACTGATTCAATCTTGCTACTTGTTATTTGTCTGTTCAGGGTTTACATTTCTTCCTAATTTAATCTACGAAGGTTGTATATTTCCAAGATTTTATCTGTCTCCTCAGAATTTTCTATTTTGTGCATGTAAAGGTGTTCAATGTAGCTTCAAATGACCTTTTGTATTTCTGTAGTATTGGTTTTAATATTTCCAGTTTCATTTCTAATTGAACTTATTTGGAGCTCCTCTCTTTCTTTATTGGTTAAACTCACTAATGGTCTATCAATTTTGTTTATCTTTTAAGAACCAGCTTTTTGTTTCATTTGTCTTTAGTATTGTTTTTTGTTTGTTTCTATTTTATTTAATTCTGCTCTGATCTTTGTTATTTCTTTTCTTCTGCTGGGTTTGAGTTTACTTTGTTCCTGTGCCTAGTTCCTTGAGGTATAACATTAGGTTGTTTATTTGTGCTCTTTCCGACTTTTTGATGTAGGCATTTAATGCTATGAATTCTTAGCATTGCTTTTGCTGTATCCCAGAGGTTTTGATAACTTGTGACACTATTGTCATTCATTTCCAAGAATTTTAAAAATTTTATCTTGATTTCATTGTTAACCCAAAAGTCATTCGAGAGCAGATTATTTAATTTCCATGTATTTGTATGGTTTTGAGTGTTCCTTTTAAAGTTGACTTCCAGTTTTATCCCACTATTGTCTGAAAAGATACTTGATATGATTTTGATTTTCTTAAATTTATTGAGACTTGTTTTGTGGCCTATCATATGTTCTATCATGGAAAAAAGTTCCATGTGCTCATGAGAAAAATGTATATTCTGCAACTGTTGAGAATAATGTCCCATAATTATCTTTTAAGTCCCTTTGTTCTAGGGTATAGTTTAAGTCCATTGTTTCTCTGTCGACTTTCTGTTTTGATTATCAGTATGGTGCCGTCAGTGGAGTACTGAAGTAGTCCACTATTATTGTGTTGTTATCTATCTTATTTCTTATGTCTAGTAGTAACTCTTATAAATTTGGGAGCTCTAGTGTTAGGTGCATATAAATTTAGGATTACAATATCTTCCTGTTGGACTAATTATTTTATCATTATATAATGTCCTTCTTTGTCTTTTTTACTTTTGTTGCTTTCAAGTCTGTTTTGTCTGATATAAGAATACCCCTGCTGGCTTTTAGTTTCTATTTGTGTGGAATATCTTTTCCACCTCTTTACCTTAAGTTTATGTGAGTTCTTATGTTAGGTGAGTCTCTTGAAGACAGCAGATATCTGGTTGGTATTAGTAGTATTTTATACATTCTACCATTCAGTATTTTTTAATTGGAGCATTTAGGCCATTTACATTTATCGTTAATATTGAGACATGAGTTACTGTTCTATTCATCATGTTAGTTGTTCCATAGATACTTTGTTTGCTCCTTGTGTTATTGTTTTATAGACCTTGTGAGAGTTATGCTTTAAGGATGTTCTGTTTTGGTGTATATCAAGCTTGTGTTTCAAAATTTAGAGTTCCCTTTACCATTTCTTGTAGTGCTAGTTTGATAGTGGCTAATTCTCTCAGTATTTGTTTGAAAAAGACTTTTTCTCTTCTTCATTTATGAAGCTTAGTTTTGCTAGATACAAAATTCTTGACTGACAATTTTTTCTTTAAGAAATTAGGCTGGGTGCAGTGGCTTATGCCTGTAATCCCAGCACTTTGGGAGGCTGAGGCGGGTGGATAACGAAGTCGGGAGATCGAGAACATCCTGGCTAACACAGTGAAACCCCATCTCTACTAAATATACAAAAAATAAGCCAGGTGTGGGGGTAGGTGCCTGTAGTCCCAGCTACTGTGGAGGCTGAGGCAGGAGAATGGCATGAACCCAGGAGGTGGAGGTTGCAGTGAGCCGAGATCGCACCAGTGCACTCCACCCTGGGCAACAGAGCAAGACTCCATCTCAAAAAAAAAAAAAAAAAAAAGAGAAATTAAAGCTAGAACCCCAATCTCTTCTGGCTTGTAGGGTTTCTGCTGAGAAATCTGCTATTACTCTGATAGGTTTTCCTTTCCAGTTTACCTGTTGTTTTTGTCTTACAGCTCTTAAGATTCTTTCCTTCATCTTAACTTTAGATAGCCTAATAACTATGTGCCTTGGTGACTATCTTTTTGCTGTGAATTTCCCAGAAGTTCTTTGAGCTTCTTATATTTGGGTGTCTAGATCTCTAGCAAGGACAAGGAAGCTTTTCTTCAATTATTCCCTCAAATAAGTTTTCCAAACTTTTTGTCTTCTCTTCCTCAGGAACACCAATTATTTTTAGGTTTGGCCATTTTATATAATCTCATATTTCTTAGAGAATTTATTCATTTTTTAAATTTTTTTTGTCTTTGTCTGTTTGGATTAATTTGAAAGGACTGTCTTTGAGCTCTGAAGTTCTTTTTTCTACTTTTTATAGTCTATTGTTGAAATTTTCTACTACATTTTCTATTTCCCTAAGTGCATCTTTCATTTCCAGAAGTTCTGACTGTTTTGTCTTTATTATATCTATTTTTCTGGAGACTTTTTCATCCATATCCTGTATTTTTTTTTAGATTTCTTTAAGTTGGTTTTTACCTTTCTCTGTTATCTCCTTGAGTAGCTTAATAATGGACCTTCTGAATTCTTTATCTGGCATTTCAGAGATTTCTCCTTGGTTTGGATCCATTGCTGGGGAGCTAGTGTGATCCTTTAGAGATGTTCTAGAACCCCGTTTTGTCATATTACCAGAATTACTTTTCTAGTTCCCTCTCATTTGGATAACTATTTCTTCAAGTTGTACTTGAATTTATTTTTGATCAGACTGGTTTTTTATTATTTTAATTTTCTTCTTAAGGATTGAATTTTAATGTTTATAACTTATTTTAGCCTAATTTGATTATTGATGCTTTTAGGTGTGAAGAATCTGTATGATTTCCTTAGTTATAGAGAGTGTTTGTGCACTGGCTTTCCCAGATGCTGGTTGTAGTAGTTATGTACTTTGTGTGTAGGCAAGTTCACTGTCTTCTATGGGGTTGGCATAGTTGAGATCACTTGAAGCTTATCTTGTTCTCTCATTGTGTACTATTCATTTTTTTCCACAGTATTTTTTTACTGAGTTGACAGTTCAGGCTTCAGGCCAATAAGGAAGGTATCCCTGAAGAGGCACTAGTTGTAGCTAAGGCAGATGGGTAGATGTAATACCCAGTGGTGGTAAGAGGTCCCAGCCTTGATGAAGGTGGTGGGAGGAGCTCTCAGATGTGCTGAAGTTTTATCAGGGTGAAGAGTGGGAGCTACCTCGGCTCCCTGCCAGGCCAGCAGGAAAGCTATCCGACTCACAGCCTCACTCTTGTCAGTGTTCCAGCTATTCAGATGAGACAGGCACCTCTTTTATTCTGTAGGAATGTTGAGATTCCAAGTAGGGAGGAACTGTGACTCTGCCTCTCATGTGGGCCTGAATCTGGGGAGTGCTCCTCCTGTGGGGTTGCAATCACCCTG